>NC_000010.11:106355216-106658246 GCF_000001405.40 Homo sapiens
AGTTGGCCTCTGTACGTTGGCCACTGGGCTGTTTATTTCTTCACATCTGGATGAGACCCATTAGCTTAAAAGCTCTGTGGCACCAAACCTGAATTTTGTATGTCCAGTTGTTTCAACACGGCCATAATAAGCAGAATTTTTTAGCCATTTAGAGCCTGCTTGCTTTGCATACCCCACAAAACTGTGCCAACATCTGCTAGTCATAGGTAAGCTAAGCCCTTCTCTATACATACCCCATGCCACTGCTGCATTTTGCAGCTCTCTGACCCAGAGTCTCCCCATGCTGTTGAGTGATATCACGGAGACAGGTGCTCCCTTTCTGATCTGTATCTCCCTTAGGAGTTCTTAGCCTTCCTGCCTTTCTGGGTGGCACCCCTGTCATGGCCCCTACATGCAAATTTGTCAAAGGGTCACCTAAAAAAAAGCTTGTATTTTCTGCTGCCACCTCGTGGCCACATCTTTTTTCTTGCTCAGACTCAAAATCCCTGGAACCCCTTACACTCCCACTCTAGCTTGACTGCACTTGTAGTCTGTTTATCTGGCTAGCATGATAAAAATTTATCTGGCTAGCATGATAATAAACACAAGACTTGTTTGATAGAACAGGGAATAAATCTATAAAATGCATGACCACAAGAGGTGACCCAGGATGAAAATATAAATAGATGCCAAGAAAATTCAGATAAATTCAAAAATGTCAAGGTCATACTGGCATTTTAAGATTTTGAATGTCACATTGACTTAATCTTGCAGATTATAGTCAAATAAGTTAAAAATTTGAAAGAAGGGAACTTTTTTGATTATATAGTTATCCTCCATGGCTACTTAGCGTATTTCTTAGTAACTAAAATAATATGTATTGGATGTTTATGAAAGTAAAAGCAATGATTTTTCTACATCCCATCCTTCAGTGTTACTATTATAAGGGTAATCTTCAGCTGAAGGACTCATGAAGCAAAGCCAAAGAGATGATTTTAAAGAATTTTTGGCCAATTTTGCTCCAAATATTTAGTATCTGACTCTATTCTAGCTAATGTATTTTACTAATTTTATAAAGTGCCCGTGCTACCAAAGATAAGACCCATTTGATTCAAGGCCACAAGTTGGCAAATTTAAACACTGAACTTTACTAATTTTTGACATTTCTATTGCCATAAATTAATATTTCCAAAATAGTCTCAAACGTTCCTAAATTTTATAACCTGGCATGTCACAGTAATCCCCAAATTACATATTACAAATTAGACCAATTACTGTATGGCTTTAGAATGAGGCAGTAAAGAAATTGGAATATGATTTAAGTTGTTACAATGAATGAAGCATATGACTGGAAACTAGTAGCTGGGTATTTTAAACATCCAAAATGCGTAAAGAAGTTTTATCCATTAAAAACTTTTGCCACACACTGCATGACTTTTGAATACCTCTTGCTTGCAAAGACTTCATGTTACTTTATTTCTTCATTTCTAGATTTTAAAATTTATCCTGGCATGTTTTTCCTATTGCACAAAGCATTATCTTTCCTTCTTGTGTAATTCTCAAGTAAGTCTAGTTGGCTAATAGTTAATCTAACATTAGATTTTATTCTAGCACATTCTTGTTTAAATTCTACTAACTTCCTGAGACTATTATATGAAAAGGCTTCTGGATTCTTACAAATAAATGTATTTATTATAAGTGGGTTTATTTATTATTAGTATTGTACCTAATATAATCATGCAAAAGTATTCAATATATAAACACATATTATTTCATTATTTTCCTCTTATTCCTCCTTCCTTTTACTTTTCCTCCATATTACATACAAGGTTTTATATTGATTTGCTTGATTTTGTATTTAATTAGGTTATACTATTTATGAATATCATTTTGTGAGTAAATGGGATATAAAAATATTTGTAACAAAAAGAAGGCTGTTAGGCCTGATGGTTATAAAAACTACTTTTTAGACTTTATTAAGAAAGGGTTGTCTTACCTCTTACTGGCTCTGTAGCCTCTAAAAATTAGGTTTTATCACTTAACCTCAGACTTCTCAGGTGTGAAAAGAGAAACATAATATTGCCTCATGGGAATAGGTTGAGGCTAAAAATGAGATGATGCATGCCAGAGTGCCAGGCTCATATAGATAGTCCTCTCTACTCTTATTTATAATTTGAAATTATACATTAAAAACAGGTGCTCACTCAAAATTCAGAACACACACAACCCACATTTTGAAATGGGCAAAAGATCTACACAGACAGTTAATCAAAGAAAATATACAGGTGGGAAATAAGCACACAGGAAGATGTTCAAAACTCATCATTAAAGAAATACAAATTAAAACAACAATAAGGTATCATTACATACCTATTAGAGTGGCTCAAATCCAAAAATCTGACAATACCGACTGCTGGGGAGGATGCGGAGCAACACGAACTCTTATTCATTGCTGGTGGAAATACAAAATAGTACATCCACTTTGGAAGACAGTTTTGCAGCGTCTTGAAAGCTAAACATAGTCCTAGCATATGATCCAGCAGTTGCCTTTCTAAGTATTTAACCAACTAATTCGAAAATTCATCCACACAAAAACCTGTACATGAAAACTTACAGCAGCGTTATCCAAAATGATCCAAAACTGGAAGCAACCAAGATGTTATTCAATAGGCGAATGGATAAACATACTGTAAGTTACTGTCCAATGAAATATTATTATTCAGTGGAACACTCATCAGTAGAATATTATTAACATTTAATGATAAAAAGAAATACGCTATCAAGCCACTGAAAACACAGACGAATCTTAAACGTCATTGTTAAATAAAATAAGCTAGTCTGAAGAGTTACATACTGGATGAATTGATTTAAGTGACATTCTAGAAAATTATAGAAATAGTAAGCAGATAAGTTGTTGACAGGTGGTGAGTAGGTGAAGGTTTGAAGAGATGAGGCACACGGTATTACACATTGGCTGCCAGGTGTCCCTCCTCAATATATGTGGCTTAAAAGTGATGCTATCATGAGGCGTAGAGAAAATGCTTACTCATGAGTTGTTCATTGGATCACTTAAGAGTAAAGATGAAATTATACCTTAATTCCAAACTTAGTAAAGCACTGTTGTTACCCAGTAAGTTGGTATTAAGCATCAATATATCTCACACAGATCCTCTCATCTATATCAAAACCTCAAAACAATAGCGTAGGCTTTACTGTTCAAACCAAACAGCCCATCTTGATATTTGTTCAGACAAGCTTCAACTAATCTATTAGGAATCTTGTTCTTTAATGTTATCCCTGCCTATCCACATGAGTTCCATTAGAAGGAATGGTCTAATATGAAAGCCACATAAAGTTATCATGAGTCTACATACTTTTGTTTCTCATATAAGAGGGCCAACTTTTAAACTGTAGCATTTTCAACCTTTGGAGTCTCCAAAATATATACTGTGGATGCCTCTAAATGTATAACAGTAATGTTGTAACCAAACAAAAGCATATAATGGATGAGTGCTACACACTATAGCTTTCTTTTTGCCCACTAAGAAGAATTTTGGTGTGACTCTCTCAATATCCTTTCCACCCCTCCTCATCTGTTGCATTTCAAGAATGGGTGTAGAAAAAACAAAAGAAAAAAAAAAGAATGGGCATAGGAAAGAAGGCAGGAGGATTCTGGGAAAGGATTTAGGAAATTATTGGTGTGATGTACTATTATCACCCTCATGGGGTTCCAAAATGCGAGGAAGAAACTTGAGCCACATTCATGTAATCCTGGGTCTTATTGTCTTATTTTCAAATGCAACCTTCACTGAAGAGGGAGCTAAATTCCCAAGATCAGACCTTTACTGGGTAGCAGAGTCAGGTCTTAGCTCCAGTTCATACTGGTTACAAAATCTGCCCTACTTTCACTATGCCAAAGATTCATGGTTGGCTTAGATTTTAATTCACCTGCCTGGATTCAACTGTCAGCTCCTACATGGCCTGGATTTGAATCCCAACTGTCTGGCCTTTGGCTAAATTGCCTAACATCTCATTGTCTCACATTCCTCATCTGTAAAGTGGTGATGATAATAATGCACACTTGATAGGATTAATTGTAAAGAATAAACTGTGTAATCTGTGTAGAGACATACAAATATAAATTGGCACATAGTAAGCATATAATAAATGTTAACCAAGACTCAGTTTTCCTTTGGATCACTTCTGGGTAATTATGTGAATTATGTTGTTTTGCTAAATTTTTAAGGAAACAAAATATTTACATTAAATAAATATATTTGCTTTGTCATTAATTCCCATTTATTGGGACAGCAAAATCTTGAAAATCTAGTTAAGATGTTTCAAGAAGTTATAGTCATTATGTTCTTTCCTGCTCATTACTGGCTACATAGATGATACATTTTGTATTAAGTTAATTTGAAACCTAAAAGAACTTATTTCCTGAGGACTGCAATTTTCAGGGATACTTCTTAATTTAAATAAAGTTTTTTCCAAGTCTTGATTTAAAGAAATAATGATATCCATCAAATTGAACACTTGTCTATGTTGCTTACTCTTTCCCATGTGGGCTTGTCATTGACAAAAAAAGAAAATCAGTTTAAATGGAGCTATCACAGATGGTTCACCCAGATAGCAAGGATGCTTTATAAGCTGAAACATCATCCAATAGGAAAAACACATGAACAACAATGAAAAGGTCTCCAATAATGCAGATATTATTATTATTATTATTATTACAGGAGCAGTTGAACCACATTTTGCATGCAGTCAGTAACATCTTTTTAACCATATTGAGAATCCTTTCCCCCCACAGTCTGCTTTTGCATCTTAATGCTTTTGGGAACCAGTAGACTAAAAACAATATTATTTATGTTAATTGTGCTGTGAACTGCATTAATAAAAAGGCTTAGAAAACATTTGTGATATTATGCATTTAAATTCTGTCTATATCTTTACCCTTCAGTGACAACAGCATTTGCACAAATGGTGATAGATTGAAAATAAATTCATATTTTGTGACAAGCTTGCAAATGTGAAGGGAATATTAATGGCAAAGCATGAACAAACGGAAAGCACTGGATTTTACAAAAGAGAATTTCAAGTACACCACTGCATCAGAGAATAAGGTTTAAGGGTAAAGCAGGTAACTCATCTACAAGAATTCCTGTAACTTAGACTGGAATAATACACCTGCCACAGGTAAAATGAAGGGCCACACTGTGAGTGTTTTAACAACAGCATTAACAAACTCAGACATAGAGAGAAAATCAGGAACTCTGACTGGAGAATCTGTGCATGTCAGATGTATTAGTGATAGTGGGTCACAGAGAATGGAGGAGAGCTCATTTGTACTATGTTGATGCTCTCACTTGAATAGCTAGGATTCAACAATTGTCAATGGAGCCCATGCATAATATATGAAAGCACCGTACAAGTGTAAACTTGATTGTTGAATTACAGTGATCTCAATTTAATCTTATCACAATCTCCATACAGGAAGGACAAATATTATCCCTCTACAGATGAGAAAAAAGCTAAAACCAGGGAAGTTGTGATTTGCCCAAAATAACTGGCAACTATTCTTCTACATTAATACAATTGATTTTGTGAGAACACACCGTTTCAGAACAATGCATGGATTTCCCTAAACCAAGTTTCCCAGGCTGAATTCCGTTTCTCATGTATTGACCATCCAGTAACATCTTACTCATTGAGTGGTGATACTTCTTCCTCTGCACAGTGCGATTTTGGCATCAGAATCATATTATTCATTCAGTGTTGCACAACAATATAGCCACACACTTAGAAGCTTAACAATCACGTATTCATTGTCTCACAGTGTCCATGGCTCAGGAATCTGCAAAAAAGGGATAATTTATCTGGGTTGCAGTATTATCTGAGGCTCAGGGGAGGAAGTTTCTGCTTTCCAACTTACTCATGTAGTTGGCAGGATTCAGTCTCCTGCAGTGGTAGTAATGAGAGCTTGCTGACTGTTTCCTGGAGGCTACACTCAGCTCCTAGAGGCCACCCACAATTCCTTACAACATGGGGTTTCCCAACATGGTCACTTGCTTCCTCAAGGTGAGTCCTTCCTCCAGCAAGTCCAGCACTGCAATGTTATGTAAATTAATCATATAATTATATACAAATAATGATGTACATCCTGTCACTTTCGTTGTTAAATTGCTTAGAAGCAAATCACAGGTGTCACCCACACTCGGGGTAGGGGATCACATAACAGCATGAACACAAAGAAGCAGGAATCATTAAATCTCCTGTCTGCCATTGCATGAAATTGATCTGTTCAAAAATGTAACTGCAAGTGGCCACAGTCACTATTAACTTATGCAATCATATTAACAATTTGCTGTATTTTGCCATTCTTATGAAAAGATTAAAAAATTTAAAACTGTGCTAATATTAGTAATAACAATTTTTAGGCTCACCAATTCAATACAAAACTAGAAATTGTTATGTAAATATTCAGTCTCTGGCCGGTGTTATGATAACTTGAAATAAAAAAAGGAAATTAAGTAACATATAAACAGTCTAAATATATATTGATAATGGCCGTATCTAAAATAAAATTGTGGGATTTATACTTGGTTGTGGCTCTATTGAAACACTTCTTATAAAGTGTAAGGGCACAAGTAAATTTTTGCACGGATCAATTTCATGTAATGGCACATGCATTCACTGTGTGTGAAAGTAAGCACTACCTCTAGTTAATAAGTGGTCAGTTGGGAGGCCGAGGAGGGCAGATTGCTTGAACCCAAGAATTCAAGACCAGGCTGGGCAACATGGTGAAACATGGTCTCTACTAAAAGAAATACCAATTTTTTTTTTTTTAAGGGAAAAAGTCGGGCATGATGGCTCACACTTGTAATCCCAGAAATTTGAGAGGTGGGTGGATTGCCCGAGCTCAGAAGTTTGAGGCCAGCTTGGGCAACTTGGTGAAACCCTGTATATACACAAAAATACAAAAATTAGCTGGGCATGGTGGCACATGCCTGTATACCAGCTACTACGGAGGTTGACCTGGGAGGATCGTTTGAACCCAGGAGGTCGAGGCTGCAGTGAGCTGAGATTGCACGACTGCACTCCAGCACTCCAGCCTGAGTGACAGAGCAAGACCCTGTCTCAAAAAAAAAAAAAAAAAAAAGTGGTCAATAACTCAAAAGGAGAGTCTTTATTTGTATTAACGTTTCAAGTTTAACTGTCAAAGATTAAATCTCACTATGGCAATGTCTGCTTAAAATCCTCCAATGCATTTCATTGCACATAAAACAGTCCAAAAATCGTTAACATGGCCTGCAAGGCAGTGTGATCTGATTTCTGCTCACCCTCCCCAACACTTTCTCCCCATACTCTTATCTCAACTACACAATGCTTGTGTTAACTTCTCAGATAACCCGCACTCCTCTGTACACGTAGCTGTGGCTGCTCTCCATGCTCTTTCACCATTCATTGACTCTCTATTCTATTTATTACTAATATTGTAAGTAATTTTTCCTCAGAGAAGCCAAATTGTTTTGTAAGTACCTTGTTGAAGATGGAATTTATCTCAGTTTATAACTGCATACTCATTAAAATACATATACATTATCATTTGATGAGTAACTTTCTATTAGACCAAAAGTGAGTAAAGCAGAGACTGGTGAAGTCCAATTATGCATATGGTATATGCATAATCTCCAAATATGGTACTTATTGCTCAGCACCATGCTTGGAACATAGTAGATTGTTCAATAAATGTGTTTAAAGATGAATCAATTAACCAAAAAACGAGTCAGGCAAAAATGATTACCAGTGTTTCTACACAAGAACTTTCATCTCCTGTTTCCTAATTCAATCTCACATCATTTGCCTCGCTTTCATTTTTTTATTTTTGTTTTTATTTTATTTTTTAGTGACAGGTTCTCTCTCTCACCTAGGCTGGAGTGCAGTGGCACGACCATAGCTCACTGCATCCTTGACCTCCTGGGCTCAAGCAATCCTCCCATCTCAGCCTCCTGAATAGTTGGGACTATAGATGCATGCTATTATGCCTCACTCTAACTCATTGACTGTTCTATGTACTTGTAGAAGCAAATGGTAATCCATTTTCAACAGGTGAAATTAAATGAATTTTTTAAATTTGGATATAGGAATATAATTAAGACTGAGAATAAAAAATATAGTGCTTTAGAAAAATAATTTTTGCCTTATTTTCAAAGATGAACATGGTATTAAGATTCTGGAAGTAATGAAGGCTTTTATTTTCTTTACAGACCAGTGGGGCCCAATCTTCTCCCTTCTGTAGCTTGTGAGTACTTAGTTTATAAGTTAAAGTGTGTTTAGGTGTCCATTGAAATCACACACATATACATAACTTTGGTCCTGCAACCTCCCATTTAAGAATCAATCATAGAGGAGAAATATTAGAAGACAAATAAATGTAGATAGTTGCTGCGTATTGTTATAAAATCAAATCAGAGCTGTCATAAGTGGTGTTTATTAGTAGGAATATGTTTAAATAAAATATGTTATATCCAAAGTATGGAACTATAGTATATACAAATTATTAAAAGAATGGATTCACTCTTTATGGAAAGATGATAATATGTGTTGTATAATTTCACGCAGTTAAAGAAGTGGAAGAGACAGTATTTCTTTACAGAGATGCTTCTTGACTTATAGTGGGTTATGGCCTGATAAAACCATATTAAGTTAAAAATATCATAAATTGAAAATGCATTTAATACACTTAACCCACCGAACATCATAACTTAGCCTAGGCTACCTCAAATGTGTTTGCCACATGTTACATTAACCTACAGTTAGGAAAAATCATCTGGCAACACAGTGCACTGCAGAGTAGCACTTGTTTATCCTCCACTTGTTTACCTCCTGATGGCTGACTAGGTGCTGTGCCTCACTACTGCTACTCAGCAATGTAAGAGTATCCTACCACATATTGCTAGCCCAGAAAAAGATCAAAGTTCAAAATAAAGTATGTGCCTGCAATTCCAGTGCCTTGGGAGTCCAAGTTGGGAGGATCACTTGGGGCCACGAATTTGAGACCAGCCTGGGCAACATAAAAAGACCGTCTCTACAAAAAATGAAAATTTATCTTGGTGTGATGGCACATACCAATAGTCTCACCTACTCGGGAGGCTGAGGCAGAAGGATTATTTGAGCCCAGGTGGTCAAGGCTGTAGCAGCTCTGATTACCTCACTCACTCCAACTATGGTGACACAGCAATACCCTATCTCTAAAATTTAAAGAAAAATTGAAAATTGCAAGTATAATTTCTACCAAATGTGTATCTCTTTTGAACCATCATAAAGTTGAAAAATCGTTGTTGAACCATTGTTAAGTTGGGGACCATCTGTATACCCAAATATCAATATGGTCATAAAGAAAGGGGTAGATAAATTCAGGCAAAAAAAATTAAGTTTATTTCTGAAGAAATAGTATTATTGGAATGGGGAGTGTTATCTTTATATATTTATACTTTTTTCTGAATTGCAATGAAGCAATATATATGATCTTTAACAGTAACATACAAATCCTTTTATTTAAGGAATAAGACAAATTTCCTAAAAGCTAAATCTTGGAGGCAGTTTTCACAGAAGTTAAATAATCAAAGAGAATTCATTCTTACATTTCAGGAAAATTTGAAAAACTAAAGAAAAGAAATTTTGTACTACAGTCTCAAATATAATCAGCAATTATATTCAAATTCAGGAGGAAGAGAGATTCAAAATGATTCTGAGATAAGTCTTCATGATTTGCCCATTGTTATTTCATTCCAGCCTTGACATGGAGTTAGTCTGCTTTAATTCTGTTAGAATTAATAAATGCTGATTGTAAATAGATCTGGGGTGATCTTTTTCTCCCTCCTACTTCAGCTAAAAAAATTTCCATTTGCTGGCTCTATAAGGGAACTTCATGGGCTCTGCCATTGCACGTTGTTTTGTTGACTGGTCTTCAGTAAATGTTTGTTAAAATCAAGTGAAGATATCACATGGATCCTTTTGGATATTCCCTTTAACGTCTAAGGAACTTCTGCAGAGAAAGCTTGGTTCAACGATATCTATTTGTCCCAGGGTGGATCTTGCAATCAATATTACAAAGAGTGAACACATCTGCTCTTTTAAAAGAGCAGTGGTATATGGAGTATGTGGAGTCAGCCACCCTTTCTACTACTTCTGCACAGTGGTGGTGAGGTGAGGCTAGTTAGAGCAAGACACTCCATCACTACTACCAAACATTAATGGTATACTTAATCCAAAGAAAGAAAGCTCTTGAAACTTTAAGTCAAATTGCTTCTAATATTGTTTCCTCTACACAAAGCATCTCAGCTGAATTTTCCCTATTGTGACAAGCCATTTGAATCCTCAAATCATTTCTTTCCTATCATTCAAATCTTAGATCATCAATATTATTTGAAGCGGAAATCTGCACTGTAATAAGATATTGCAATTATGGCTGAGGTTTATAATCTTTTTGTAAGTAGGTTGAGTTTAGAGCAATCTGGATGTTTTCATAAGGAGGCTTTGTCTTGATTTGCAAGGGCATCAATAAGGCAGACATTTCAAGTTGCCTCTAGTCATGCAACAGAAAGCAGTGTGAAGGCCATTTATCCAGGGCATTCATTCCACGCTGGTTCAACCAAGCTCAAAGCACCTGTTTTCTTTATTAGCACACACACTGCTTGAATTACCCTGATAATTGCCTAAACTCTTCCTTTTACTTTGCCTGTGGGGACAGTCTGCCAACATCCAGGGCTTCAACCAAGAACGACAAGAACCCACAGGAGGCTGCATTTCACTCTTTCCAGCTGAAGGAATAACTGGAGCAGAAATACGAGCTAGTCACCAGATTTTCCCACTTGATTTCGGTGCTTATCTGTCCTTCTAAAAATACCCATAGGCATTTTTTTATCAGTGTGTTATAGATCAAACCACATCATTCACTTCAACTGCCCTCTAAGGCTGCTGTATTTTTTAATGGCATCCAATTTTCCAAGCAAATGAGAATTTGCCGAATCAAAGTTACCAAGTCTATCAATAAGGTAATGTCAGTTTCAGGATGGAAAAGCTCACTTGAGTTTTAATGAGACATTTATCTTCTGATTATTTTTTCTTAGATTCTAAAAAAAAGTTGATTATCTTCCTGAGAAATCTATGGGCTGAAAACTACGTAGCTCAACAACATCACTTTCATTGATACATGCAAGTAGCTAAAAGAGAGCCCACTGTATCCAAGGCATGATTGGGTTGAGGACAGGTCATAAAGACAGAAAAAAAATTGACCTGCCCCTGCCCCTTTCTCCACTCTAGGAGAATATAATTTAATTAGGAAAGGAAGAGGTCAATTAAAATTACTAAGTAAGGCATTAAGACAAAAGAAGAAGAAGAAAGAAAAAAGTCTTAAAAGGAGAGCATGGAAAGTGGTTTATTATCTAAAGAGAAAGAAAATTATTTTTGCCTGTGTCAAGGGGCAAAATAAGAAATCAGGAAGATGTCAGAGGAATGAGTGCATATTTGAAGAATAGATTAGAAAGAAATGGAAAGGGGATGTGTCACAAGCAAAGTCTTCAAAAAATCTAGGGTGTCTTTGAACATGATAATCTTTGCTCAGCTATAGTATCAAATAAGTATGTGTTTTAAAAGACTTTACTCAAACAGTTCAGGGAATTGGGGATTCCCAAAGATTGTCCAATGCCAATATAACAAGTGTCTATACACAAGAAAGAACAAATGCCCAATCTCCAAAAAACTAATGTATCAGTTATCTTATGCTGTGTAACAAGCTATCACTAAACCTAGTAGTTTCAAACAACACACAATTATTATCTCACAGTGTCAGGAGCCTGGGCATAGCATAATGGGTTCTCTGCTTAGAATTTTACAAGACTGCAATCAAAGTGTCAGCCAGCCTATGATCTTTTTTGGAGCTGGGCATCATCTTCCAAGCTCATATGGTTGTCGGCAGAATTTAATTCTTTGTGGATGGTAGGACTGAGGCTCTCCTAGAGGCTGTCCCGGTTCCTTGCCATGTGGCCCTCTCCATAGACTGTTCACAACGTAACAGCTTGCTTCTTCAACACTAGCAGGGAGATTCATTCTCTCCAGCTTCCTAAGAAGGAATCTTTTACAGTATAAGCACTCATCACTTTTGCCATATAACATTACCTGATCAAGATAGTAATTTCCAAACACATTTGCAAAAGGCTAATGGTTAGAATTAAGACAGGGATCCCATTCATACTCAAGAAGAGGAGAGTATACAAGGGTGTGGTCATTGGGAACCACCACATATGGAAACAATATAAATGGATTAATCAGGCTGGCATAATAATGTTCACAAATATGGATTGGACATTTGTCTTTGTGCAACTATGAATTATAACTCATTTTTATTTTCTTTATGTTTACAAAGGAATAAAACTTACAGACAGTATCAACCTTAGACCTGGGCAACTAGACTGCTGTCGCTGGCCCTATACTGTAGAGGTCCCTGCTATAGCATTCTCCTAGCTGTGTCTTTCCATATGAAGCAAGAAGTAAGTGAGGCCCAGGAAATAACCAAACTAGAGCTCTGCTCTGGATTGAATGTTTCTGTCTCCCCACCTCACGAATATGTATGTTGAAACTTTAATTCCCAAAGTGATGATATTTGTAGGTGAAGCCTTTGGGAAGTAATTAGGGTTAGATTAGGTAATGAGTGTGGGGCACTCTTTCTCTGTGTGTGTGTGTGTGTGTGTGCATGTGTGTGTGTGTATACACACCAAGGAAAGACCATGTGAGATCATAACCAAGAAAAGAGTTTGGTTTTTTTGTTTTGTTTTGTTTTTGAGATGGAGTCTCGCTCTGTCGCCCAGGCTGGAGTGCAGTGGCGCGATCTCGGCTCACTGCAAGCTCCGCCTCCCGGGTTCACGCCATTCTCCGGCCTCAGCCTCCCGAGTAGCTGGGACTACAGGCGCCCGCCACCATGCCTGGCTAATTTCTTTCTGTATTTTTAGTAGAGACGGGGTTTCACCATGTTGGCCAGGATGGTCTGGATCTCCTGACCTCATGATCCACCCGCCTCGGCCTCCCAAAGTGCTGGGATTACAGGCCTGAGCCACTGTGCCCGGCCTAGAAAAGAGTTTTAACCAAGAACCCAACCATGCTGGCGTCTCAAACTTCAAGCCTCCAGAACTATGAGAACTGTGTGCTGTTTAAGCCACCCAGTCTATAGTACTTTATTATAGCAGCCTGAAATGATGAAGACAAACTCACATACATCCACTTTTATGCTGCCCTCTGGGTACTCAAGTCTGCAGAACTCTCTGCCCAAATAGCCCCAAATCTGCTGACAGAAGCATGGAGCCCTCTTCCTCAGTCTGTCCTCCCAAGGGCAGAGCATGCCGTTGTGATGTATGTACCATTATATCCTGTGAGGGGCAGCTCTTTAAAGAAGGCATTAGTTGTCAGAGATGGGACTTGTGGTTTGAGGTGTCCACAAACATGCTTCAGGCTGGAACCAGGGAAAGGAATTTCAGAGTTAGACATTTGACCAAGTATTCTTCGCCCATCCTCTTTCCTCAAGTCACACAAATGTTAGAGCTGGGCCTGTTTACATCTAGAAACTCGAAATCCCACTTTGAGCAGATAATTTCATTCATTCTCATGGTCTCAAGTGACAACTCATGCAAATGTTTGCTCTCTTTGCTGAGTGAGGAACAGCCTCTAGAGAAGTCAGAATGCAAAACGCTACCTCATTATAAAAGCAAACAAATTTTTTTAAAATTGACAACCATTCAGGAAAACAAATAGTTATCTGAAGGATTATTGTGACATAACATACTTGATACACAAATGTTTTAAACCACATATTTTTAGGGGAATAAAAAGATGTGTGAGAAGCAGTTTGTACTCTCATCATGTAATGCATGAAAGACATAATAAAATATTGGCTGTAAAACTCCAAAGAGCCACTGGGGAAAAAAAAATGAAATTTTTCACAAAAAAACATTAACTGAAAGTATTGTTCAGAAGATGAGAAGAAGACATTTCTGACTTGAGGTTTTAGTGTTGAGCATAAGCACTTTTGTACGTACTCTATTACCAAAAGATCATAAAAGAATCAGGTATTAATACTACCCCTTGGAGGCTGTCCTGTCTGTTTACAATATGGCATTAGAGAGGTTTTGGAACTTAATAGCTTTCTTCCAAGTTTTCATTTTCCAACTTCATGGCCATTCCAGGTAAATATCTGTGCTTCGTATCATGTGCTGGGCACATTGCTACTGAACTGATATCAAATGGCTTTTCCTCCATCTGTTGCCTGCTGAGGTAACACTTGATTACAATTTTTTAAAAAGCAATTCAGTCAGACCTCAACTTCCACTGTGTTTCACCCTTAAAAGGAAAAATAATCTGGGCAGAAACTCAGTTAACATTAATAGTAAAATGACTCTCCATAGATTGGGCTTTTTGTGGGTTGTTAAAATTTAAGTATCTTTAGAGGTATGTATCATAACAGACCACAGGTTTCCCCTTGTATATGCATAGTAACTTCAGTGTAATATAACTTCACTGGTAACTTCAGTGGTAATATAAAGCCACAAGAGTGTGGGTGTATATGGATAATGTTACAGAAAGTTATTCCCCCTCTTTGATCTAGGCCTCACTTGCCAGTGGCACCTTCTTATACATAATATGGCTAGGTCACACCAAAGAACTGGTCAAGAAGATAAAATCAAACGAGGTTGAATTTACTACTTCAGTCCCATCAGCACTGACTTAACTGCCAATGCTGTTTGCCAAATAGATTTTTTTAATAATAAAATAGAAAAAGGGTAGTAATTTCCCTCATTGTGTCAATAACTCAATGGCATTTATTAAGTACTCTTTAAAGTGACTGCTGTTTATTACAAAAGCATATGTAATTGCCATTCAACGTTACTCATCTGCATGAAATCATTACCGGTTATTGGAGTAAGTTGGTCTATGTCAAGGCAAGGCAAGAACAAAAAACACTGGTCCTTTAGTGGCCTGAATCTCAGATTTTGAAGTACAGTGTTTTTAAGAGACCATCAACCCTTACTGATCTTGGACCAAAGGTTAGGAAGAACCACTCTCATGAGTGGTGGAGTTTTCATCACACCACTGGCAAACAAGAAAAATTAAACAATGTAGTAAATCTTACATTAAACTGAGCATGTTCATTTTAAGGTATGTTTTATTCTGAAATTATGTTCTTTGCACTGAGTTTTTTTATTATCATTTTTCGCTGCAAAATAATGCGGAAACTGATAGAGCAGGAGCACCATCATCTCGGACAAGCACGGCCACTTTCAATTCCAGTTCCCTTTCTAGCCTCATGCGTCTCAAGAAAATCACTTCTCTTCTAACTACAAGCAGCCAGAAAGAGCACACAGTAAAACACAGATAAAACAGCTCGGGCACAGAGGAAGGTGGGGGAAAAGTCTCTTAAGGAACTGCCAAACTTCACCCTCATACCATGGGCCCCGGTAAAACAGTGGGCCTTCATAAGCACATTCCTTTCCCTTCAGGTGCACTAAGATAGGAAAGCCAAAAGCAGACTCTGTGGATAAGCCTGCAGCTGCAAAAAGATGTATGGAAACAGACACATAATTCTCCCTGCCAGGTACGCACAGCAAAAAGACGCAGAAACAGTCCCAGCCTCTGATAAACTCTCCCACCCCGAATCCTTCAAAACTCTTAGTCTGTAAGAAAGTGTGCCTCTGACCTAACTTGGCCAGATGACGTCACTCAGGTTTGTTTTCTCTAAAATAAATCTGTCCTGACTGGAGAGCCACCTTTTCGTGTTTCTTTCCTTTTTCGTTAATTCCTACAGAAACTAAATCCATTTTTTTTTTTTGCTATGATTAATGTTTTTACTTGGGTAAATGAAAACAAGCAACCTTAATTGACACCCAAAAATTATTTTGAAATTTTAATAGTCTTTGAAATCTAAACATCTGAGGAAGAGTGTTGTATCATTAAAAGGTGCTTTTATATGCACTTTGTGGAGAATGTCTGGGGTATTTCTCTGGAAAACATGTTCTTAGCATGTCAAATATTCAAGATCTTTACAGTGCTTTCTGTTAAGAATAGTGAAGAGTGGCATTTGGCAGCCAAGGCTCAGTTTCTTAACTTGAAATCTATAAAGAAATGAAAGTCAAAACAAAGCAAAGGCAACCTCACACCAGGATAACAAAGAAAGAAAGGGCAAATGAAATAAGTTTCCTCATATTCATATTATTCTTCCACACAACCTACTTCTATGTCTTCATTTCAACATCTGTGAGGTATCCCAGATTCTGCAATGCATGTGCATGTCAATCATGTAGATTTCATTTTATTGATTTAATAGCTTTCTATGGAGCATCTGCTGTGGAATAGATATTGCTCTAAGCAGCAGAAATACAATGGTCAACATAATGAACAAATTTCATGGCACTAATATTCTTATGGGATATATGTTTCCTCCTGAATTGTTTTTGGCCAAAGAATCCTTGCTAAGACCCTTTGGTTATGATCAAAGAAGTCAGAGTTAAACAGAGGTCCATTGAAACGGTATAAAGGCTGAGTACGCTGGTTCACGCCTGTAACCCTAGCACTTTGGGAGGCTGAGGTGGGCAGATCTCTTGAGTCCAGGAGTTAAAGACCAGCCCAGCCAACATGGTGAAACCCCATCTCTACTAAAAATACAAAAGTTAGCTGGGCAGGGTGGCAGGTGTCTGTAGTCCCAACTACTTGGGAGGCTGAGATGCAAAAATCATTTAAACCCAGGAGGCAGAAGTTGCGCCACTGCACTCCAGCCTGGGTGACAGTGTGAGATGCTGTCTCAAAAAAAAAGGCGGGGGGGGGGGGTAGGGGGGTTTAAGGTATCCATATAATCCAACTGCAAGAACAAAATATCAGAAAATCGTCCTATCTGCTTTCCCTGGAACTGTACAGATTGTAGTTTCTGCTCTTCACTGCTCCACAGAAACTAAGAATTCCACAAGCTCTTTGTTTTGTTCTCTTTTAATGTCAATATTCTTGTGGCATTTTCTTTATTTTTTTAACAGAGAGATTTCCTTTACTTTTAAAATTGTGGTAATATATACACAGCATCAAATTTACTATTAACCATTTTTAAGTATACAGTTCAGTGATGTTAAGTTTATTCACATTGGTGGGCAACCATCTCCACCGTCCATCTGTAGAACTTATTTCTATCTTCCCAAACTGATACTTTGCAGTCATTTAAATAACCACTTCCCATTCCCTCCTTCCCCCCATCCCTGTAACTGCCATTCCACTTTCTGTCTTTATGAATTTAACTATTCTTTTTATCTCATATAAGTGGAATCCTGACAATATTTGTCCTTTTGTGACTGGCTTATTTCACTTCACATAATGTCTTCAAGTTTCATCTATGTTGTGGCATGCGTCAACATTTCCTTCCTCTTTAAGGCTGAATAATATTCAGTTTCATAAGGCTAATTCTAGTCTCACTCCAGATAATTTTTTTGATTTCTGTGCCTACCGACTACTGCTTGATCCTAGTCTTTAGTCTTCACTCAAATTTTTAATAGGTAATTTGATCAACCAACCCATCAATTGATGCCAAGCCTGAGTCAGCCATTCATTCATGTTCCAATTAACAGTGGCCACTGAGGACAAGAGCATGTGTTGCAAACATATCCCTTAGATGCAATTATTTGTAAAGCAATTTGCAAAACACATGTGTAGAATGCAAATAAGTATGGATATAATAATCAGTGCTTTGTAAGTAAATACAATTATATTCTGAAACCATAACTTAAATTAGGCTTCCAGAGGATACCAGTAGTGCAAAAGGTGCTGGCAATGTTCTTTATTTAAAGATGTGCTGTGTGAGTAGAACTACTTGATTGCACACAGCAAGGAGGATTTCTGTAGAACACATTAGGACAGACAGGATTTCCACTGCGCTCCACTCCAAAGAGACACATAGCTTCATATCTTTTTCATCCTGGTTCCAGAAGTATGTAGTTAATAAGAAAAATAAAAAGCAATTTACATTTGAAAATCCCATAGCAGTTGCAGACACTACCTTAGCCACATGGTATGATGTAGTGTTAGCCTTTCAGTACTTTGACACTACTTATTTCTCATGGTTAAAGTATATAGAAGTGCATACGGTGAAGGAATGCGCAGGAAAAAAATCAAAAGAAGGTCCAAAAGAATGGTATTTGCTGTATAGCCTTTTGGAAGACAGAATTTATAAGCTACTTCATATAAGTAGGATAACTTTTATGTTCACCTATAATTAGAGAAATGCCCAGTCACATGCTAAAAAAATAATCTATTAACAACAAAATATTATAAATATGAATACAAAATACATAGTGAATTTCCTGGCATATAGATTGCACTGTGGTCTCAGTATGGGCAATATTATCCACAGGATGTGAAAACTGGTTTTTGGGAGATGAAAAAAATGTAGAAATTGGGATGGGTTGTGGCATTCCAAAGGACAGAGTATATAATCAGTTATACTGTATACCCATGACATTAAAAATAATGTTGGGATGCTAGTCAGCAAAAAAAAAAAAGTCTACAAATTCTCCTTATAGGAGGATGGTCAATAATTAAAAAAAAAAAAACAATGAGAAGCACTGTCTTATATTCAACACACAGCACTCGTTGTGGCAGCAGTGATAACGTTTCTAACAATAGCACAAGGGAAAGCAACCAACGTGCAGCTAAATGCAGAGAAAACGTATAGCAAACACATTTTCCAAGTCAACGTAACATGCTAAATGCTAGTGTATTTGTGGAAGTATTAGGACAAAATGTAAATATGGATGTTGAATCTATGAGAAAAATAAAAAATAGACAAGCTTTTCTCTTAAAAAGTAGATTAGATGTAAATTTTAGAATGGTCTTCCACATGATGATTATCCCATATTATCAACTTAGAAGAAATTGAATTTCTTCACATAGTGTTGAAACAAGATCAGTGGAAAATAGCAGGAATCCTTTCCATGTAGTTTTTCTGAAGATTGGTCCAATGTTGGCAAAATACATAGAAAAGGATCAGATAAAACCCATCCATACACTCCAACATGGAAGGAAGATGGTAAGAGAGCACCATGGACAACACAGGGAAAACGTATGTGGAAACTAACATACTGTGACTGATCAGCATTGTATAATAGCTTCTGCAATGGAAGGACAGAGGCTGCATCAAGTAAAAAGCCAAAGCATGTGGGAGAATGTATCCTGATCAAGCAGGAATCTTTTCCAAGTGTCTGCTTTAAGAAACTGGACAGACTCATATGGCAGGCAATAATACGCATCAGATATAGAGTGCACTTGGTGTGATCTCTTGATGTGAGTGCCTGTAACACCAGTTTCTTCTTCATCTCCAACCAGCTAAGCCTTCAGATCACTGAGTGGACAGTAAAACTTACATCAGCTCTCCATCTATCTCTAACTGCACACATTTGAACAATAGGGAAATTAAGGAGAGTATAAAAAAACCCACTGCAAATTAAAGGACTCTATAAACTTTTACTCCATCAATCATAAATAAGCAGGCAGAAATATATGAAGGAGTGAATGAAATCTGCTACAGCAGAAAAACAAAAACAAAAAAAAGCACTTAAAATCCAAAGGAAAAGATAACTTGGAATAAAAATGTATCACAGAAATAAAAAGATTAGAAAAAAAATCATCTTAGAATCAATAACAGTGCTTTAAAGTGATAAAGTATATTTATATGATAATTATATGCTAATAGTTCTTATATCTACCTTCAGCGATATGTTAAAAACATGTATACACACACACACACACACACACACGCACACACACACACACACACAGGAAAAAATGTCATTTACAAAATCACTAATATAAAGTAATTGGGAACAAATTTTAAAAGTAAATGCACAATGCCTATGAAATAGCATATTTATCAAAATCCATATGGAAAACTAAACAAATTAAATATTTAGGCAAAACAAGGCCATTTTGAAATAGAATAATGATAAAAAGTTTCTTATGCTTTCAAATATTAAGATAGTAATAATGTTAACCAGATTAGTGGAAGAAATTTAAAATTTCCCAAAGAGAAGTTAGCATATGACAAAATGGTATTTTTTAGGTGGGGGAAGGAAGGTTGTTTGTATTTATTAGTGTTTCTAGGACAATTCATTAATTTGAAAGGTCCTAAGACCTTGTCTCACTTGAGCAAATTTTTTATTCCTTTTCTTCTCAGTTGACTGAATTCTGTTTTCATCTTAATGTTTTTTGTGTGTGTGACTAAAATAGTTATTGCAACAGAGGCTACTATTGAGTTTTTAAGGAAGAGTGTATTTAATTTTATGTTTAATTTGGCTCACATAAAAATAAAAGCATCTCCCTCTAGCACCACTAGACTTTTTCTGTCTGTACCTTATGATGTAAATGTTGCTACTTGACTTTCACCTGAGTTGTTTCCTTTAATGTGCAAATTTAAGACTATTTAGCTGACAACTGCCTAGGGTTGTGAAACAGGTTATCAATAATCTGAAAGTCTAAGACAGGAAAAAAAATCTATAAAATGTATTTCCATCAACATGCCTAATATGTCTTTATATGTATTTATGTGTTGTGTACACAGGGTTTCACTACTAAAAATATATTAAAGAGCTATAATTAATTGGCTTCAAGAAAAGTAAAAGCACTTAAATCAGATACTAAAAAAGAAAAGACTAGTCAAACGCTTTTTTAACTTTATTTAACTTAAGTAAAATATTTAATAAATAAGCTAGCTTTAAAATTATTGGTAAAGTAATATTATAAATGTCTTAAGAATTGCCAGCATACATTTTTGTTTGCATTTATTAATAAATCAATTTCATACTTATCCCTGCCATATGCCATAAGGTGTCAAAATTTGGCATAGGGGTTACAAAACTATAAACCCATCCCAAATCAGAATTATCTTTGTTTTTGTAGTTTTTAATAAATAAGACGTTGATATGGGTTTAATGAAAATAGCTGCATCTTGAATTTATTAAGATTACCATAACTTCTAATCCTGCGGCTCTAGGCAGTCTAGTCCCCAGACAATAAGAAGGCTTGTTTTGGGAAAGGACTGTTATCGTTTTTGTTTCAAATCTGAACTATAAACTAAGTTCCTCTCAAAGTTAGTTCAGCCTATGCCCAGGAATGAACAAGGACAGCTTGGAGGTTAAGTGCAAGATGGAGTCAATTAGGTCAAATCTTTTTTCACTGTCTCAGTTATAATTTTACAATGACAGTTTCATAACTTTAAATTCATGACTATCACAGTTTTCATAAATAATTGAGGTAAATAATTAAAATAAAATAATTAGGGAAATGTAATGGGATAAATACTTGCAGACAAGCTGTTCATAATTTAGAATATAAAGTTAAATTAAATAATAGATATTTCATTATTTGGGTATTTTCCAATAAATATATATTGTAGGAAAATACTCTTGCTAAAAAAAAAGAGAGAAGTCATTAAAAAAAAAGTGAACAAGTTTTGTCTAATTCAAAGCCTATTTAAAGGTTATGTATAAAACAAGCTAAAAGGAACCAGGAAATAAAAAAAGATGTAAAGAAAGTTATAAAAATAAAAAGGATTTTTTTGAGGTTAAAAAAAAGCTTAAAGAAAAATAATTTTGTATAGAAAAAACATTGTATGGTAAACTTAGTCATAAAATAAAATAACTGGTTGTTTAAAAGGAAGGGTGTTCAGAACAAACCAGAAAGTCTGAGCATGCATGTAATGGTCAGTGTAAGTCCCAATAAGAGGATTTATATGTTTAAAAAATATATATTTTATATAATCAAGTTGTCATATTATAATCTTTTGGTGTGCTTAGGAAAAAAACTGATATAAAAATTTTTTTAATTAAGGTTATTACATCCATGTATCTTCCTGTATATACTTTCAAAGTCCTTATAACATTGAGTTACAGGGCTTTAACTCCTGGGTCTAAAAAGGACATCAAGTCCTACTAACTCTTAAACATTAACACCAATTGAAGTCTCATCTTCAGGCCCATAGAAGATGCCAATCAAAATAAACTGCATTCCTGAGTCACAGGGCAAAAACAAATTAAAGCTATTCAATTCTTCAGGGCTAAGGGATTATCACAGAAGAGATGGGCATGTAAGATTGCAAGGGCCAATTTTGAAAAATAAAATAAGTTCAGTTTCTCTACATATTGATCATTAGTGTCAAATGCACTCTCATGCAAAACCAGTATGTGGATCACTGTGTCAGACTAACAAGGTTTTCTTGAAGCATTAACCAACTCCTTAATAAAAGTGATAAAGGTTATAAAAGGCTTATGTAAATTATATTTTATAGTCAAAATTAAATTTTATGGATTATTTACAAAATTTTGAAAAACAAACATAATTGGCTTCATGCTGTTTTTATTAGGACTTCTTATTTAGGAAATTAAGTCTCCTCACTCAAAGAATGAAGGTTTTCACTAAAAAAAAAAAAATCCTTGAACGATCGCTTTGGTTAAATAAATGACTTTACAATGACCTGTAATCCTATTTTGTAATATCAAATGTTTTAAACCTTTTATATTTGACAAACTTTTCAAAATCAAATTATAAATTATATATTTTTCTAACCTAACTAATCCTTTAAAACATTAGGTTTCCTAAAGTCCAAAAATGACATAATTTGGCTTATTTGGTATAAAAATTATACAGGAAGCATCTGTCAGATATAAAATGGTGTTTGGTTTTCTTTGGGGTGTGTTTGTATGTTATTGGTATGTGTTCCAAAATTATGGGAAACTGCTGTAATTCTAATATAACTTAGTGTACATTATTAGTAATAATCATAATTGTTATGGTAAAACTATTGCGTGCAACAGAGGTAACAAATTTCCTTGTCAATTGTATCTTTTAAATGTGGCTGCCTTAAAACTTTTTTTCATCCATGGTCAATTGTCTTGTTTTCGTCCTCTTTAGAAAGTGGTTTAATAATCAGCTATAAAACTCCAACAGGTGCTCTTAAATGCAGGTTTCTGAAAACTCTGGAGATTGTGACATCAGAAGAGAGGAAAAACTGTGAGTACTCATGGAGAGTAAAATATTCACGAGTATCAAGCAGAACAGGAATGAACTACGTGGACTGAACCAATCTTTTTGACTTTTTGCTTAAAATGTTTGCCGATCCTTTCTTTTGTTTTTCAGAGACTTAAAACTTTTCTTTTGAGCTAATGACAGCTTTTAACAGTTTAGTATACTCCTATGAACAAAATTTGGAGCATATTTTTTTCTCTCTACCTGATTTCTCCAGAATTTGGAAACTATTTGTGAGTATTCTTAACTTCTGGCAATACAGTTGTTTGCAAAAGTGCAATAAGAATCTGTTTTCATTTGTAGCAGGACACAATTGGAGAAATTGGTTATTTTACCAAGGCTTTGACTGGATTGGAATGCTTTCCTTTAAGGAATCAAACTTGATTTATGGAGCCAATAAAGCTCTTGGAAAACTGGCCTTGTATTTTGTGTACACCATCCCTGTACAGGGTTTCTGACCTGTGGTAAGTAAAAATGTCATTTTCTGACAGGTGCAGAAGCCCCAGGTTTATCTTGGAACATCAAGAGGAGAGGAAATTCACCAAATTCGTAGGTAATTGATGGCACAAATCCATGGTTGTGCTGGGCTTTAAAAAAGTCTTATCTGGGATACCTCCTGTGGAGCAAAGTTCCATCAAAGCCTATATAAAAAATAATTATTCTTGCTGCACTGTATACAAATAATTAGCCCAAGTATAATAAGCAAACCAGTCCTACCATGATTTGTCTTTAGTAAAATGGGAAACTGGAGAGAGAAAAAAAAGTTTTAAAATGATTGTACATCTATTTTTAAATTCTAGTTTTGCCTAATGTTTTCTTTTTTTCAGTGTTTGTTATTTACAATTTGGATCGAATTCTAATTTTTCTTGGCTATAAGTCTTCAAAATACTGTTTTCAACTTTTTTCCTTCTTTATTTTTTTCCATTTTTCCTGATTCAGAGTCACTGAAAACTAAGCTGTGCTTTCTTAAAACCCTGCAAAGTGAAGCCAGACAACTTAAACTTCAGAAGAAAATAACAGTAGCCTATTTACATACATAAGCCACTTTCATACCTGCCTACTAACATATGGACTTAGGAGTTATGTGGCCTATATTGATTTTTTTAGGATTGTTCTTTTGTCATTGTTTTTTCTCCCTTCCTCCTCACTATTTTCTCTTCACAGGACACAAGACTTCACAACCTGCTAAAAATGAGCTTTTGGGACTACCCGTCTAGAAATAAATAGTCCTAGCCTTAAGAGATCAGATAAAACCTGAGACCAGAGGCTCCAATTATTGGTGGAAGAATTGTGAATATTATACTGTAAGACCATATTGATTGGAGATATTGTTAAGCTATTTTGGAAAATGTAATCTGCCACATTTATAACATTTTCTTTCTTAAAAACATGTATATTAGCCTAGCTGTTATATAAAACACCTCAAAATCTGATTGGTTTAGGACACTAAAGATTATTTCACAGTCAATTTTCAGTCCAATGTGATGTGTGTGTATAGGTGGGATAGAGATTTGTCCTATATAGTCATTTATGAATCTGTTGTCTTTTAGGCTATAGTTCTAATATAGTCAGTAAACAGATGGAGTATGAATAGTATGAAGAGCTTGGATACAGCATAACTGCCTAACTGTCTTGGGCTAAAAGTGACACTTCACATCACTGCCACTTGCATTTCATCAGTTAAAACTAGAACTTCAACTAGACGCTAAGTGTTTAGTATGTGTAGTTTATCTGTGACTAGGAAGAAGAAAAAGCTTGGAAACCCATCTGCCTTTCTCTGTTACTACGTATGAGTTATTCACATAATAATTTCCTTTAGCCTTTTGTGTTGCAAATATATTTTCTAGCTATTCATTTTTCTTTTAACTTTGTATTTTTTCGGCTATTATTTAAGTAGAAAAATGTTACATCTTTATGTAGCTATATTTTTATTCTTTTCTTGATTTTTGTGGTTAGAAAATCTGTATACTTTGTTTGTTTGTTTGTTTGTTTGTTTGTTTTTAAGACGGAGCTTCTCTCTGTCACCTGGGCTGGGATGCAGTGGTGCGATCTCAGCTCATTGCAAGCTCCACCTCCCGGGATCACGCCATTCTCCTGCCTCAGCCTCCCGAGTAGCTGGGACTACAGGGACTACAGGTGCCCGCCACCATGCCCGGCATTTTTTTTTTTTTTTTTTTTTTTTTTTTAGTAGAGATGGGGTTTCACCGTGGTAGCCAGGATGGTCTCGATTTCCTGACCTCATGATCCGCCCGCCGCAGCCTCCCAAAGTGCTGGGATTACAGGCATGAGCTACCGCTCCCGGCCGGTTAAGACATTTTATCATCAGGACCTTAATCCCCTCGTCCATTACCATGAAATAGTCTAATCTTTGTAGAATGTTGTAAGCTATTTTAATGTAAGCATACTTAGTTAGATGCATCCAACACATAGCATTTGCTGACTGCGCAGCACAGTGCCCTACTGAGTTTTCCCTCATTGAGCTTACAGACTGATTGAAGCAGAGTGCACCGAGAAATACAATTAAAAGAAATAACTATTGAGAATAAATCATTCATTGGCTTCCCAACCCATCAAACAATGCATGCAATCATATATTTCTGCCACTCTGCCCACTGAATCATTACATTCCATGCATACCAATGTACTAATTCCTAAATTTTTCTAGCTATAGAATCTTTGCGTTTGTTGTTCTCTATGCCTGAAACTCTTTTTCCTCAACTATTTGTGCAGCAGGTCCCCATCTTTTGTATCTGAGTTTAAATATCACATTCTCAGAAAAGCCTTCCCAGACAACCTTTTCTAAAGTATCACTCCCCTACACATATGCACCAATACATAGCACATACCATAAGCGATAATTGCTTTATTTGTATGTGTATTACCTGCCCCACCTCTGGAGTGTAACTTTATGAAAGCAGGAGCTCTATGTGTGGTTTTTTTCTAACTATTGTATCCCTACATTTAGAATCACGTTTGCTGCATTATAGGACATATTAGCTATCTATTACTGCAATACAATAATATCACAAATGTAATAGCTTAAAACAGCAGACACTATTATCTCACAGTTTCTGTGGGTAAGGAATCCAGATAAGCCTTAGCTGGGTCATCTGCTTAGGGTTTCACAAGCTTTTAATCAAGGTATAGGCCAGGGCTGCAGCTTCATTTGAGGCTCGTTAGGGAAGGATGTACTTCCTAGCTCACTCATGTTGTTGGCAGAGGACACAGTTTCTTGAAGCTGTAAGAAAGAGGGCTTCATTTTCTGGCTGACTGGTGGCTGGAAGTCTCCTTCAGTTCTAGGGGCTGCCCATAGTTCCTTGCCATGTAAGACTCCCCACTTGCTTCCCCAGAGACAGCCAGAGAGAGACAGGGCGGGGTGGGGGGTTACAGCAAGATGGACATTACCATCTTATGAGACATAAACACATGATCACACAATCATGTACATCCCATCACCTTTGCCATATCTATTGAATAAAAGCAAGTTACAGGTTCTTACTACCCTCAAGGGGAAGGGATCACATAAGGTCATGAACACCATGAACACTGGGAGGTAAAAATTATAGGGCCCACCTTAATGTCAGTCTCTTCCGTAGGGGCAGAGTAAATATTTATTTATTTATTATTTATTTATTTATTTATTTTTGAGGCAGAGTCTTGCTCTGTCGCCCAGGTTGGACTGCAGTGGCACCATCTTGGCTCACTGCAACCTTGCCTCCCTCGTTCAAGCAATTCTTCTGCCTCAGCCTCCCAAGTAGCTGGGATTACAAGTGCCCGCCACCACGCCCAGCTAATTATTATATTTTTAGTTGAGATGGGGT
Source organism: Homo sapiens (assembly GCF_000001405.40). NCBI lineage: Eukaryota > Metazoa > Chordata > Mammalia > Primates > Hominidae > Homo > Homo sapiens. Next base: position 106,382,120 of record NC_000010.11, read on the forward strand.
TTCACCATGTTGGCCAGGCTCGTCTCAAACTCCTGACCTCAAGAGATCCACCCACCTCGGCCTCCACAGTGCTGGGATTGCAGGCATGATCCACCTCGCCCCACCATATTTATTGAATAAATTGAATTAAAGTTTCCCCAAAAAACTCTCGCATTAAGCAATGATTCCTTAAATAGAAAAGTGAAATGGGGTAAGAAGTTTTCTATTCATTCCATACAAGTCTGGGACGGAAGGATCGAGTGTAGAGGCCTTAAATAAAACACATTAGAACTTCGGTTTAACTGATAAAAAAAAATTTCTAATATATTTTTTATTATTTAATCCTAAGAGAAACAATTGAAAGTGAAAGATTGAGTAACCAAGGTAGTTTATAAGGGCTTCTGAGGATTTTCTTCAGTTCCCATTATCACTGAGCACATCTGTCAGCATTTTTGATTTCTTTTAGATGAGGTAGAAAGACTTCTGACATTTCAAATGTATCATGCTATTCAGATTCCCATTCTTTGGAAAGATTTCAGAGAATGTATTTCAGGAATAAGAAAAGTCATGAATGTCTAACATTTCAAGCACAATAGACTGACTTGTAGGGAGGGAAACAAGAGGCCAGAAGTTGTAGATCAGGTGGTTTTAAGTTCTTCATGATACAGGTGGGAAATTGTCCATTTATTCTTTGGAGCAAATGAAAGCATAAATCTAGTCAGGCATTTAGCATCAGGTCTTTGAGTGACATATTTCAGTTTTTGCCATGTTTTAATGACAAGTCCAGAATTGTCTGGGGCAAAGGAGAAAGAAGCTTTATGCATAAAACCTTTCATTGGCCAGAATATATTCTACGTGTCTGCATGTCTTCCCAGACTCCAAATTGTCATGTTCAAGTGATTGCACTTGAGGTATTTAGCCGGAGGATTTCCAGTTTATGGAACGTGTGACTTTCGGAAAACTTTTTAAACTCCTTTAGACCCTAATTTCACTCAGTGTAAAGTGAGAACACAGGTCCATGTCTGTTATTTCCACAGTGAGCCCACTGATCTATGTCAGGCTCTTTAGAGTGATTGTTTGGGAAGCTTGTATAAAAATACAGATTTCCTGATCCCTCTCCCTGGAGCTTCTGATAAAGCAGCCTGGGCTGGTCTGGGACTATGCATTTTTAAATTTTTCCCAGGAGATTACAAAGTATATTTGGAAACTGCTGATTATTAAATATATTTTGCATCCAACACTCTATGTTTATCCTATCAGAAGAGTTCCAGGTCTTCTAGGTCTTAGGGAGAAATGCTAATCATGACAGCTTGAGCACTAGGTTAATTCTATCTGGACAAGCAAGTCAAGAGGGAGAATCTAACAGTATTTCTAGCTGAAACAGGCTTGGCCTCAACTTTCAACTGTCTCCTTTTTTTAGACAGGGTCTCACTCTGTCCCCCAGGCTGGAGTGCAGTGGCATGCTCACAGCTCACTGTAGCCTTTACCACCTGGGCTCAAGCAATCCTCCCACTTCAGCCTCCCTAGTGGCTAGGACTACAGGTGTGCACTACCACACCTGGCTAATTTTTGAATTTTTTGTGGATATGGGGTTTCATCCACCCTCCTCGGCTTCCAACAGTGCTAGAGTTACAGGAATGAGCCACTGTGCCCAGCTAACTTTCAACTCTTGTCACATATCATGTGTTGTGGTTGCTCTGATTTCTTTACCCATTTCACTGCCTTAACCTCTGGCCAGTCACCACCACTATTTTTATGGAGGAATGGTTCCTGTGAGCTTCTGCTTTACCCCATGGCTGCATGCTCCTTGTGACTTAGAGCTAATACTTTTATTCCAGGTCTGCTCCTGAGTATTCTAACCCTGGTTTATTTATCTTCAACATTGGTTTGGATCACATGAACAAAGAGGATGTCAAGACTCCCATTCGAAAATTTGTCAATGGTAGGATCCTAGCTGCGTTGTAACTGATAGTAAAGGTGCTGAATGACGGTCCCAGGTGCTGAAGAATTGAGTGGATGAAGCAGGAAAGCCAGATCAAAAGGAGGAATAGAAATAAATTTGAAGGTTACTAAAATGATGGAAATACTTTATTGTGTGTGATGATGATGATGGTGGTGATGATGATCTGAGTTGCTTTATGAAACTGGATCATCTTCAACAGCTCCTTCTTCCCCAGAGAAGTAGGGAAAATACCTGTATGCAGTGATTCAAGGCACTCTACAGGTAGCCAGTCCATTTGTGGGTAGCAGAATCATGTCCTCCATCCCAAAGATATTCACATCATAATTCCATAATCGGTAAATATGTTACTTAATATGGCAAAAGGGATTTCATTTATGTGATTAAGTTAAAGACCTTGAGACAGGGAGAATTTCTGGATTATTTGTGTATGCAAATCTAATAAAATGGGTTCTTAAAATCAGAGTACCTTTGCTGGAAAAAAAAGAACCAGAGAGATACAGCATGCGAAGGACTACACCTGTTGTTTCTGGCTTTTAAAATGAAGAAAGGGGGCCCTGAGCCAAGGAATGAAACTTGTCTCTAGAAGCTGCAAAAAGGAAGGAAACAGATTCTTCACTAGAGCCCCAGGGAAAAACACAGAGCTGCCAATGGCTTGATTTTAGCCCAACGAAGACTTCCAAACCACATAACCGTGGGAACATACGTTTGTGCTGTTTTAAGCCTTATGTTTGTGGTCATTTGTTATGGCAAAAATAGATAAGAAATGCAACATCCAAAAAATGTTTATCATTTCCCCGGCCCTTTTTCTCCAGCTGAACTGGTTCACAGACTATACCTCCCTTTCCCAAATATTTTTGCTTTCTGGAGTTTTTTGCTTTTGCTCACCATTTTACCACTTGTGACATTTTCACTCTCCCTTTCTTTCATCTGATCCTACATTTCCTTTAAAGTCCAGGCAACATTCTACCTTCTCTGTTCAGCTCGTTAATGTGACACTAAAAGTTGTGTATATTTTACTAAAACTTTCATAGTATTGTACTCACCATTCACTTACAAGCTTATAGTATTAGCATTTATTTCAGTGTTTAACTCTTCAAGCGATACATTGTTTAAATGCAAACATTATTTTACAACAACATAAAATCAAAATTGTGTCCTGAAGGGAAATAGTAGCTCTGTATTGTAATTATATATACAACTGCTTTAAAATCCAAACACATTAAGGCAGAAGTATAATAAAGAAGCAACGTTTAAATATTTTTAAAAAGAGAGAAAAAATATTGTATGACAGCTACTTCCCCAGAAAGGGGAAGGGATCTCTACTGTCTATCATGTTCTAGTCACAGAAGGGAAGTGTAATGGTTAAAAGACCTGCTTGAGAGATGGTAAAGGAAATAGCAAGATCTCGACTGGAAATTTTTATCTCCCACAGAGCAACAGAACCAAGTAAGACAGTGGTTCTCAACCAGGGTAATTTTCTCACTAACAGGACATTTGACAATATCTGGAGGCATTGTCCTCACTGGGAAATGGTCCTACTGGCATTTAGTGGATATAACCCATGGACGCTGCTGTTAAGCGTCCTACAGTGCACAGGAATGCACCCCACAACAGGAGTTATCCAGACCCAAATTCAGTTATGCCGAAGTTGAGAAACTCTACTCAAGGGAAACTCTAACTCCAGACAAAATGGAACATTGATTAATTAAATAAAAGTGAGAGAACTTCTTAATGGATTTTGAAATGAAAATTGTGAATAAAGTTAACAATTTTACTTATTAAGATCTACTATCTAAAAACGTGAAGTCTGTCTATCAAATAACCAGCATAAACTTTTAGTAGGTAAATTTTAAATATTGAGGTCATAGGAGTGATTCCCTGGCAGATCACACTGAAAGGAAGATGGCTGGAATTATGAATTATAATTCATAATTGATTGTAAGATTGTAAGAAATGTAATTTTGACCTTGCAATTGTGAAATACCTCAGTGAGGCAGAAAACAGAAACCAGCATGGTTGCATAAAAAAATTTTCAGACCAGGCACGGTGGCTCACGCCTGTAATCCCAGCACTTTGGGAGGCCAAGGCAGGCGAATTACAAGGTCAGGAGTTCGAGACCAGCCTGGCCAGCATAGTGAAACCCCATCTCTACTAAAAATTCAAAAAATTAGCTGGGCATGGTGGCAGGTGCCTGTAATCCCAGCTACTCGAGAGGCTGAGGCAGGAGAATTGCTTGAGCCCAGGAGGCAGAGGTTGCAGGGAGCCAAGATCACACCACCACACTCCAGCCCAGGTGACAGTGTGAGACCCTGTCTAAAAAAAAAAAAAAATTCAATGAGCCCAAATGAGTGAGGAAATATAGAGAGCGTATGAAAAACGATGTGGTGATAAATCATAACAATCGCCATCCGCAAAATTAAAGTGGCTTTGTAGAAAGTACTAAGGAAATGAGAGTTCCACAAAGATTCTATTGTTTTAATGCTGTTGTTGACAGATACTTAGGCTATTCAACCTCTACATTTTCTGCTTTCTTTGATGAACAAAAAAATGATATGCAATTAATTACGGTAAATGATTACAGAATTCCAGCTGGGTGTGGTGGATCATGCCTATAATCCCAGCACTTTGGGAGGCCAAGGCGGGCAGATCACGAGGTCAGGAGTTCGAGACCAGTCTGGCTAACATGGTGAAACCTCATCTCTACTGAAAATACAAAAATTAGCTGGGTGTGTTGGCATGCACATGTAATCCCAGCTACTCGGGAGGCTCAGGCAGGAGAATTGCTTGAACCCGGGAGGCAGAGGTTGCAGTGGACAGAGATGGCACCACTGCACTCCAGCCTGGGTGAAAGAGTGAAACTCCATCTCAAAATAAATAAATAAATAAAAATAAAAAATAAATTACAGAATTCCAACATGAGTGAAAAACTGAGACAGAGTGTAACAATTCCAGGCTCAACCTGCATACTGGGATGCTGAGGGAAATTAGTTATCTGAGCCATATCCATCTTCTTGGAAGAATCAGATAGAATGGGAATGATACAAAGACATTAAAGATGGGCAAATAAAGGTCTTTTCTAGTCTCAGTATGTAGAAGGCAGATTTTACTAACTTCTGACTGGCAAGTTTTGTGTAGGAAGGCTTCTAGAATGATGTTGCAAGGGAGTGATTTGTGGGTTTTAAGAGGATGAAATAGGTTTGCTAAAAACATGAGTAATTTAAAATGGGCAGTATCAAGTGAGTCACATTCCATTTTTGTAGAGTTGAAAGATGGCTAAGTCAGACTGATATACAGATGATTTAGTAGGATTGCAGTAAGGCATTTGAAAATCCTTTCCTGATAACTGTATATAAAGTATTAAAATAGGTTTAAGACACTAGTAAAATTCAGTAGATTCATAATTGATTGAAGTACCATGCCCAAAGAGGAGCAACTAATGAATTGATTCCCTGCAGGATTTGGTCCCCAGTCTATCTTGATCAATATTTTTGTCAGTGACTTTGGTGAAGGTGTTAGAGGTACTATTTTTCAAATTTGCAGTGACATAAAGCTGAAAGTATTCTTGAATAAAATACATTAAAAAATCAGGAACTTAACTAGCTAAGATTGTAGGGAAAACCCAATAAATATTCATAGATTTATAGTATATTACAGTTGCAGGAAATTTTAGTCCAAATCTTCATTTTGAAGGCAAGGAGGCTAGGGTACAGGGTGGTAACTTATATAGCTCACATATGGGTTTACAGGAAAGTTGCAAACTTATGGGTTTATAGGAAGACTAATATAAAGTTACAGACTGATTATCTCAAGCAATGATCTGAATATTAATAAATTGTAGCACTGGCAAAAAAGAAAGAAACAAACAAAAGAAGTTATCAAAAAGCCATCCCATTCTGAATTAATAAAGCTGTAGTTATTGATGACAAGGAGGTAATAGGTTCCAGATTTCTTTCCTCTTACTTCCAGTGTCTTTAAAAAGTATTATACAGCTATTTATAGACACTAAAAAGAGAAATCAGTTTTCTCTCTATGCTGAAATTTCGTGTCTGAAAAATGACCTACATGGGACTGACTACATATAAAGAATGCCTTTATAAGGTAAACTGATGTGCTAAGAAAACAAAACAAGAAAAATGAAACTTCAGAGGCTGCAATATTTATTATAGAAATACAAATATATGTGCAATTCGGAGTTTCTGTGTGATGTCAATTAGCCTAGGCACTGGCATAAGAACTTGCTGTTACTGTCATATATAAAGTCAGATCAGATGAAGGTGCTAATTTATTTTTCTAAATATGTGTCACAGTGCTTTAAAATGCAAAAAAAAAAAAAAGTCATATGATGTCATCGTAAGGACAAGGGAAAGTATTGATTATGGCCTCACTCAAAGGAATGACTGACACTTTCATGGCTATCCCAGGGAATCTCAAACCAAAGAAAACTCAATCTGCAAACCTATGAAGGTTGGAAAATAGAGTTCCTATTACCAGCTCACAGAACTAGGATTGAGGGGAATTGAGTATTAAGGACAGGGGTGATTATATATATTAATATAATAAAATATTCATTGCAATTGCATGGCTACCAAACTTGATGAAATTAATTAAACCATTCATTTATTCCTTCCCGTCTTCATTGAACAAATTTCACTGAATATTTATCACATGTCAAGCACAGTAATAAGAGCTGGAGATACAAAGATAAATGAAATTCAGCCATTGCACTCAAGAATTTAGTGTTTAGGAGACACATAAACCTCCACCAACATTTTGCAATGAAGCATAATACGTGCTATGAGAATCAATTCTATTAGGTAAATGGTGATCTCATGGAGAAAGGGATAAACAGATTAATGGAGTAAAGAAAGTTTACTAGGGAAAAGAGAAGACAAAACTGGCCATTAACAATCTCAGAAACTTGTTCTGAGTTTTATAGAAATATCTTCTTAGAACAGAAGAGTCGAGTTGACATTTTTCCAGGTACAGTGGGCCCTCTCTATTTGTGAGTTCAATATCCAGAGAATCAACCCACTGCAGATCAAAAATATTTGTAAAAACATTGTTTCATACTAAACATGCACAGAATGTTTTTCCTCATCATTATTCTCTAAACAATACAGTATAACAGCTATTTACATAGCATTTAGATTGTATTAGGTATTATAAGTAATCTAGAGATGATTTAAAGTTTATAGGAGGATGTGCATAGGTTATATGTAGATACCATGTCATTTTATATGAGAGACTTGAGTATCTAGGAATTTGGGTGTCCTAGGGAGGTCCTAGAACTAATCACCCATGGTTACTGGAATGACTGTACTGGAATATTAGTTATTAATCTGTAATTGAGTTTCTATTAGGTGGAGCAATAGCCAGAAAATCTAGAAATACTCAAGTCCTATTTCAGAATATATCTCCACCCCCAACTTTCTTAAGAGAACAATATAATCAAGAAATAATGGTACCACAGACTAGAATAGCAGTGTATGATGATCCCCAAATCATACACTGAAACATGAACCTCAGATATTGCTGCACTCTAGCTAAACACTGGATACATAATCACAGAGGGAGAAAGATAAGGGGGAATAAAATCAGATCCACTCCTGGACTGGATCCTCTTAGCACTCAGGCAACATGGAATACAGAGTGTGAGAAAACCAGCTACATCTATGCACAATAATTACAGCCATGCAAAAATCAGACAAATCCATAGCAGTTCTTCCTTGTATGGTCTTGGTGGGGATGAAGACAAGTGAGAAACTAAAGGAGCTATTCCTGGAAACCCTTCTCTTAAGGGGAACAGTGACTAACTGAGGGATGACATGCTAAGTTATCAATTAAGAATGCATCTTGGAAGTACATTTTCCTTATCCTTTGTCTTACAGTGTACATGCATATTACAGTCTACAGAGTAGAAATATAAAGAATTCCATACCTATTTCTAGATTCCTGATCATTAAGACCAGCACTCTGTAAACAGCAGTTCCTAGTGTTATGTCATTACCGGAACAGACTTGAAAAAATTTAGGGCACTTTGGGAGGCCGAGGCGGGCGGATCATGAGGTCAGGAGATCGAGACCATCCTGGCTAACACGGTGAAACCCCATCTCTACCAAAAATACAAAAAATTAGCCAGGCACAGTGGCGGGCACCTGTAGTCCCAGCTACTCGGGAGGCTGAGGCAGGAGAATGGCGTGAACCCGGGAGGCAGAGCTTGCAGTGAGCCAAGATAGCACCATTGCACTCCAGCCTGGGCAAAAGAGCGAGACTCCTTCTCAAAAAATAAAAAAAAATAAATAAATAAAAATAAAAATTTAATGGCATGCAAAGTTGTTTGCTTTAACAAACAAGTTAGGGCATTAATAAAACATTAGCAGTAATAATAACAACCTCTACCAAGTACCATCTCGATATTTCATAAAAGAAGTAATCATTTTAAAGTCAAAAATATAGGAAGGGGAAATATTATAGGGAAACCTTTTAAAATGAATAACAATAGCATTAGGAAGGGCAGAAAGCATTCTTATTGTGGTACAGACCACTGAAACTGCAACCCAAACACTTGTACTGGTCCAAAGATGGGTATGTGGAGAAAATTGCTCTACAAACTTTATGCTCACTTACTTATACACATACTGTTTAGAACGAGCATCTTAAGAATTTTGGAAATCGTCATCCCTTAACCTATTGAACATAAGACACATTGGCATATTACCCTTTCTTTGGCAGACGGAACTATTTATTAAAAGCCGCTACTATTGCTCAAATTGTATGTATTTAAAACATTACTTGAGTTCATAGATTTACCTCTGCTCATACAAGTATTCTAAATCTCTTCAAACCTTACCTCCTCAGTCCTCAATGTGAGTGACCATGGTTGGCAGGCAAGGACATAGTGTGTCTGAGGGAGATTTGGGAAATTGAGCCTGTCTTCAAAGTCCATTAGAACTATTTCAGTTATCAGAGATTATTTTGATGTTGTCAATATTGGAAATTTTTCCATAGTATGGGAATGGTAAACAGTGTCATACTAACTACAAAATTTGGGGTTTTTCTCAGAATAATGAACCTCAAAACAGTGTTAAAGTCATTAAAAAGAAGTTTTTATAAATATATGGCACAGAGCTGTCAAATTGAAAATAACTTCTGAAATAAAAAATAAAAGGAAAATAGTTGCTTTAAGAGTTTTATGGCAAATTGCATAATTCAAAGCAAGGCTCTCAAAAGCCACTGTTCCCAGTGAAAGTATTAGCTGAATTAGCTTCCTAGTCAGAGTATCCCGTTGGAAATTCACTTCATCAGCATGGCTTTATGTGTAACTAAAACAAGGCAGCTTACGAACAAACATTTAAAGAAAGGGTCTAGTTATGGACTTCAACCAGAAAGGTATTTCCTCTGCCCATTCAATCTGGATTCCTGTGCAAGTCTGGCCTTTATTCAGAGTTATGTGGACAAAGCAGATGCTATTTCACAAATATTTCTCTCCTAAAAAAAGGAGACAAGATTCTCTCTAGAGAAGTCCCTGTCACATATCATTCTCTTCAAGCTAAGTTCTAAATATATTTGCTATGTGCAAAAAAGGACTAACTAGATTTAACCAACAAGCACAACTTTATGGCCCTAATCACACAGCACTCACTTGGTAAAAAGAGTCAAGTAAGTCTCATTTGAATGTAAAACTTCAAATTGCTGTTCATCACTTGAAATTAAATAAGGCTGAACTGAGTTATGCATTACAGTTTCAGCCTTCATGCTCGGTGTGTGTGTCTTAATGAGTCATCTCTCCTTATAATAGACCTTCAGTATCCTTTGCCATACTTTTTAATATACAGGTGGATTTTAGGTTGTTAATATCTAAATATCTACCTTGCATAACTAGACATTGCTATCTCAATTCTGTACTTATGCAACGTCTTTTGTTTCCCACAAAAAAAGTCACATTTATTCCTTTATTACAACATGCTAGAGTCATTAATATTCATTAACTCAATGCCTTGTACTCAAATCACTTGGATAACTTGTCCTCACCACTATATAGAAGATTCCTTGGACCGGCCATGGTGACTCACGCCTGTAATCCCAGCACTTTGGGAGGCAGAGGCAGGTGCAGTGGCTCACGCCTGTATCCCAGCACTTTGGGAGGACAAAGAGGGCAGATCACTTGAGGTCAGTAGTTCAAGATCAGTCTGGCCAATATGGTGAAATGCTGTCTCTACCAAAAAAAAAAAAAAAAAAAAAAATAGCCGGGCATGGTGGTGCACACCTGGTAGTACCAGCTACTCTGGAGGCTCTGGTGGGAGAATCCCGTGCACCCAGGAGATGGAGGCTGTAGTGAGACCAGATCATGCCACTGCACCCCAGGCTGGGTGACAGGGCGAGGTTCTATCTCAAAAAAAAAAAAAAAAAAAAAAAAAAAGTTTAGAGTGCTGAGTTTCCCCTTCGTCTCATTCTCTGCACTGATTTGTGTCTGGAAGGCTTAAGACTAAGAACTGCATCCCTCCAGCTCCCCTGCCCTCTGCCTTCCCATTGGGTTCGGCCAATCATGGTGCAAAAGGGGTTGGGGGAGCCATTAGTAAGAGAAGGAGAGCGATATGAAAGCATTTGTTCCCTGACCCTGCTCTCCGCCTGCCTTACTGTGGCTCTAAGCATGGCTTAGTATCCTCAGGTGATCACTGCCATGACAATGACTTTCACTTTGCTCCAATTGCACTATTTCCCTTTTTGCCTGGCAAAAAAGTTTGCATGGCATCTGAGGAGTTCAGCTCCTGGTTAAAACCCTGAATGTGCTTTTTCAGGCCTGCCTCTAGGCAATGACAAAAGTTTTACCTAAGAGGCCTCACGTGAGACAGCTGGTCTCCACATCAGCTTGGTGCACAGCCAATACAGTGCAGTCTCTAGGAGGAGTTGCAGCCAAGAACTCGGGCCCCTCTGGCCAGTCACAGTGTAACACAGGTTTGCATTCCCAGCCCCAGCAGCTTCAGTACTAGGTTAGTGTCTCAGGCCTTGGGCAGAGGTCTTCGTCAGGTGCCTCCAACAAGGGCTCCTTATGTGGGGAGACTCGGGAAATCTTAAAGACATTTTTCCACACTCTGACACAGTATCTAATACTTTTCCACTCCTAGCCCGTCTTCACCACTCCACTCCCTACACAATTAGGGTTCTCAACTGCCGGAGTCTTTAGCTGGGGCTCCCTCAACAGTGTGAATCTGCCCAAATCAGTGCTGATCCACCTGGCCCTTTGCTGGTGCTCTTTTCCATGGGGATAAATGGAACAGTAGGAGTCGGTGATTTCTCTGGTTTCAGACTCTTGCTTTTATTATTGCAGTAAGTGATTAAAGGCTTAACTTTCTCATTTTTGCTTGTTTTAATTGGCTACACTGACACCTGGCAGCTTAGTTCTCCCTTTCCCAGCTCAGCTGAGTTCCTAACAGCATTTTGCTGCCTGGAGCTCTAGATGCTTCGCCATCCTTTGGTGGTTCCCATAACCCTGCCCACACCTCTATAAGTAGTAACTTTACAAAATTCTCATCATTTATTCTTGAGTATGCCATTATGTTCTGAAAATCTGTATGATACACTGCCTTAAGAGTTTTAATATGCAGGCAATGTTGAATAGCACTGATAGCAACCTTACGTATGATTAGAAGGAATAAGCGCTTGCTTTTTGTATTAGTTTCTTAAGGCTTCTGTAACATAATACCACAAACATATTGTCTAAATAACATAGATATATCGTCTTACAATTCTGGAGGCTAGAAGTCTAAAATTCTAGGTGTCAGCAGTGCCATGCTCCCTCTGAAAGTACAAGGAAAGGATCTGATGCCGTCCTCTCTCCTAGCTTCGGGTAGTTCCTTGGCTTGTGACAGCCTAACTCCAATCTTCACATGGCATTTTCCGTGTCTGTGTGTACATGTGTATGTGTATGTGTATGTCCAAATTTTCCCTTTTTATAAGGATATTATTCATATTGGACGAGTGTTATCTGCAATGACACTACTTCCAAATAAGGTCACATTCTATGGTTTGAGGAGTTAGGACCTTAACATATAAATTTTAGGAATACACATTTTAACTCATAACAACCTTGTAAGGGAAGGATTTCATAATGAATGTCTGTGCTTTTTAAATTTTTGCTGTTGTTATTTTATATCTCTTTCTTTGGGAAATGGTCCTCCCCTACTCGGGAGATGCGGTTCAGGTGGTGCTGACACCACTCACTGGCTCCGGGTAGAACACATAACCCAGAGCTGGTTAATCAGAATCCTCCATCTAATTGGCCACATTGATGATTAGTTCAAGGATGGGCAAGTGACCCAAGAGAAGCTAATGTGAGTAACCCCCATCCCTGTAATTTGATTGAGGCTATTATGATAAAGGTCCATGAGAATTATGCAAGCCTAGGGCTGCCAGTGCCCCTTTTCAAATAGAGAGAAACTGCCTAACAAGAAAACAACCCTGAGAACAGACCCAAGAGCTGCAGTGAAACAATGTCTTGATGATGTAATTTGAGCTCTAGTGTATGAGCTGCCCATTTTGACTTCCTAGGTAAAAGAGCCAATACAAATCTGGATTTAAATTAATTTGAATTGAGTTCCTGACACACGCGAACAACATAGTCTTAATATATAAGCCAGTGTGGCATAAATAGGTCCAGACTCTAGGGCAGTGGCTCTCAAACCTTAGTGGGCATCAGAGCCACCCGGTAGGCTTGATAAAATACAGATTGCTGGACCCCATCCTCAGAGTTTCTCATTCATTAAATTTTGGGTGCAGCTTAAGAATTTCATTTTTAACATGTTCACAGGTGATGCCGAAGGGCTGGTGCTGCTGGTCTGGGAACCACACTTTGAGAATTACTATTTTATTTTATTTTTACTTTTTAATTTATAAACTTTTTTTATTTGTCAGGAAGACATGGGGAGAACTACTATTTTAGAGAGATCATTGAGGTGGCAGTTTGGTGACTGAAGTAATTCTAGCAAGCAGAACTGAAAATTACATTACTTTTGTTGTTCTTATCAGTTTAAAAATTACAACTGACTGAATGAAAATGCTATTTGGTCTCTGGCAGCTTATAAGTGTTTTTCTTTTTCAATGACATCCAAAACAAAGCCAGTTCCCATGCTCCAGGGCTTCATCTAATTTCCATGCAAATGACTAGATCTGTGGGTTGTTTTCGCAATATCAGAAACCATTTGCACACCTCTTTTAGAGAAGTACTTCATTGCCACTAGACTGATGAAATTGTCCATGGTAGAACTCAAGCCGCAACAATCCCTTGAGGCTAAAGGAATTTATTATTACCTAGCATCAACCACCACCAAAAAATGTAATCACATGCTGCCTGTTTATGTATGATGGATTGATTTTGACACCAAGCACTCACCTATGACCTTTTTAATGTGAAATTATTTCTACAGAAATGTTCATTTGGATAGCAACCTCTCTTGAACCTTGATCAGGTCAAAGTATTTGCTCGGTCAGTGAATGCATTTCTGGATTCAAAGTGAACAGGCTGTCAGGGGTGACAGAGGAGAGAATGTAAATGGCAAAAATTCCAAATTCTCATAGCCATGACAGTCAGTGGCATGGTCTAAAGGGTCTACAGTCTAGGGGCACAATACTGGCCTATGAATCTAGAGACATTGGCTTTAGTCTCCTGGTGTTGGCAAAACTGGTATGAACAACCTTGAAAAGTTATTTAACTTGTCTGAGCTTATCTGAAAAGATAATGCGTTAAGCTAATTGAACTCTACATTTTATTTCAGCTTCCTGTCTACTGTGCATGTGTGGTTTTGATTTCAACTGAAGAAGTGACATTCTGACTTGGAATTCCACCAGATGAAGGGAAAGCATTGTGAGAAAATTCAGAGAAAATCAAACCAGCGCTGGATTCAGACACAACTGGCTGTGAATCCTGGCTCTGCCACGTCATAGTTGTATAGCCCTAGATAGATTTACTAAATCACTTCGAGTTACAAATTCCTCATCAGTAAAATTTCAGTAAAAATACTTACCTTGAGTGTTCTTATGAGGATTAGAGTTAATATATGCAAAGCACCGTGCATCAGCTCTCAATCAAGGGTGGTATAAATCACTTGATGTTTAAAGAATCTCTGAAAGTAAAAGCTTCTGAATGTGGAACAGATTCAAATAACAAGTGAAAATAAAAGCAGCCAGCATCAGGCCCAGCCCAACAGAGTTCTCTCTCAGTGCCATTTCTTTGCTCCCAACGAAACATCTGATGTGTGCTGGGTTTTGACCCTCACTGGCCTTCAAGCTTCTGCTTCTGTACTGCCCTGAATTACTCTTCAGCTGTGGCTTTACCTTGGCTTTGTTCCTATGTCTCTGTTTTGGCACCTGCTTATCACCTGGCTATACTCTACTCTCTCCAGCTTTGGACTTCTTCAAGTGAGTGTGTTGATGCCTGTTTCTGGCTTATGGCATGGTTGCCATATCCCTGCGTGCTGTATTTTTCCTTAATTCTAGTGTGCTTATACTAATAAGGGTTTATACAACCAGTATTTCTATAAAAATTAACTAAAGTGAAACCTTTTGTTTGCAACTTACTCATTCTTGGTACCACTATGAATGTAAATGAGCAACAGCACTGCTATGACAGCAACAAGAGATAATGAAAACTATTGAAAAAGTCAAAGACTGAAAGGAGTTTTAAAGACAGAGGCACTGGAACCAATGCAAGACAGCATTTTGAGCAATTCTCTATTTCCAAATTTAATGGTGAGACACAGAGGCACAGATCTCAGGGGAAAAGATTATTACCTATAATGAATAATAAGAGACCGGCATTACCACACCCTAGTAACCAAGACAAGGATGGATTCTGCAAAGTAACTCCAGAGCTGGTAAAACTGTGAATGTCTGAATGTAACAGTCACTCTGGAATCACCAAACCTAATGTTGCATCCCTGATAGCTATAAACAAATTAGATTTATTCAGCAGGGCAGTCCAAATGCCTGAGCCACTCCTAAATCGGCCTAGAGGTAGAAGGATGATCTTAATGATGTATGACAAGACTTGCATTACAAAATAATTTCAATTACTGGATGTGTTAAAAAGCCACTTTGCAGCTGTTAGAAAAATTTACAAATGGATTTTAAATACATCTAATGCAAAACAGGCTTTAACTTTCCTGTTACAATTCTAATTTCACTCTAACCTGTAGAAACCAGCTGGGGAATGGATCTAGGGATGAGAACAGAAAGCTCCTAAGGAAATTTGGATGAAATGAAGCAAAGAAAGACTTCTTCTAGTTTAGAGGAATCTTCCTTATCAGAATGTCATCATGGAAGAAGATGCCTCATTACTTAGGTTATTTCAAATTACACCAAAATTCTGACTCAAAAACCTCACTATGTGGGCTACTAGAAGATTACCTGAAAGACCTCTCTCAAGAATTCTCACCAGATTCCTCAGGCCAGCTTTGGAGGTCCTCTATGAACTGGTACCACTTTGCCTGTGCAACCCTCAAAAGCACAAACTCCGTAGTGAGATCTATGGTCCATTTTCCTCATCATTGTACCACCTATAAGCTGAGTAATGTAGGCAAGTTATGTAACTGCACAATACCTCAACTTTCTGAACCGTAAACTAAAAATAAGGCCTTCTCATGTAAATTTGGTTTTAGATTCCACAAAATTATATTCTGGAAATGACTTACCTGACACATTATAATAAGAATAGCTTGTACAATTAAGGAACATCCGCTGTTCCACTCACTTTGTTTTCCAATGGCAACAAAGTTTTTCTATTTGCCTCTCACCAAAAATAGTCTCCTGAATCCTCTCCAGCTACACTGAGCCTGCCTATCCCTTAAGTTTAATTCAATTCCCCAATACTCCATGATTCTTCTATGGATATCCCGAACCATAGTCATCTATCCCTTTATTAAACTATTAAATTCAATGTTACCTCCCATTTTCACAACTATAGAAAGCTATTTCCCAGTTCAACTGCTTCATATAAGCAATCCTATCCTTCCAGTCAGAAATGAAAGTTGGAGACAAGAAGACCTGATTTTTAAACCTTTTTGTTACTCACAGTAAGCCCAATGCCATGACATCCACAAAGCATTGTGCAAGGATAATTATCAATTAAATGTCCATATTAATAAGTATTTTTGATGTTCAGTGCTCTCAGAAATATAGTATGACATGGCCATAGTACCATAAGACAGCCATAAATAAAAATTGGAAATTAATACAAGTCTACATAACTGTGCCATCAAAATCAGGAATACAGTAAATCTGTGTTCCTGGATCCCAACCTACAAGGCAAGGCAGAAAGGATGACTACACACACACACACACACACACACACACACACACACACAGAGGAAACAGGAAAATGAGCCATAAGTTGAATATCTCTCAAGAAGCACTTTCAACACCAAATAACAAAAAACATGACTCAAAATGGAAACGTATTTGTTTACATAACTAAGAAAGCCAGGAATGGGGCCAACTGTAAGTCATACCCTGATTGCTCTCTGTCCCCTGGGCCTGATCAGCTGTACTCACACTCTTTTTGGGGTAGCAATATGGTCTAGCACAGGTGTCCCCAATCCCCAGGCCACGGACCAGTATCCCTCTGTGGCCTGTTAGGAACCAGGCCACATGGCAGGAGGTGAGTGGCAGGCAAGCAAGTGAAGCTTCATCTGTATTTACAGCCCCTCACCATTGCTCACATTACTGCCTAAGCTCCGCCTCCTACCAGATCAGCAGAGGCATTAGATTAGCATAGAAGCGTGAACCCTATTGTGAACTCCATGGGTGCGGGATCTAGGTTTCGCAATCCTTTTGAGGACCTAACGCCTGCTAATTTATCACTGTCTCCCATCACCCCCAAATGGGACTGTCTAGTTGCAGGAAAGCAAGCCCAAGGCCCCCACTGATTCTACATTATGGTGAGTTGTATAATTATTTCATTATTTATTACAATGCAATAATAGTAGAAATAAAGTGCACAATAAATGTAATGCACTCGATTCATCCTGAGACCATCCGCCTCCACCTGTCCGTGGAAAAATTGTGTTCCACGAAACCGGTCCCTTGTGCCAAAAAGTTTGGAGACCTCTGGTCTAGCAGATCTAAGCCCCCATTCTGTCACGATAAAGGAAGGAGAAACAGAAGAGAGTGCTTTTCTCTCAGCAGTCCCAACAACAGTCCCATTTCATTGTATTGACTCTGATTATCTGCCTGTCAGTGAACCAATTACCACAGCCAGGGGCATGAGATATTCTGATTGACCAGGCTAAGAAGCATGTCTGCTCCTGGAGTGATGGCTTAGCTGACTCCACAGAAAACCTGTAAGCTGAAGGCAAGAGAAAGAGGGGGTTCCCCCAGGGGAAAGCTGAACCGCTATTATCACAAAAAGGGTGAATAACTTCTAGACAATATAAACAGCACAAACATTTGTGTTCCTGGTAAAAATGACTAGTTGATTGATATTTAAATCCATAGATATGGAAATCATCTAACTTTCCCACCTCATACACGTTTTTTTCTAATTCCTGAAGAATATATCCACGAGTGCATTGTGTAAAACCAAGAGCGATTCTTTGGAGAACTATAGTTCACTGTCTGAGTCTCCTCACTACACAGCTTGTTGATTTCCACAGATCATTCAGTGGTAAAACTGGAATTCCCAAAGTCTCTTTCCCTATGCTACTATTAAGGCCATGCATGAGATAAAAGGCCAAAGCACTGGTCTAGTTCCAACCTTCCCATAAAGAACCTACCACAGGCCGGGAGCGGTGGCTCATGCCTATAATCCCAGCAATTTGGGAGGCCGAGGCCGGTACATGACTTGAGTTCAGGAGTTTGAGACCAGCCTGGCCAACAAGATGAAATCTCATTTCTACTGAAACTACAAAAATTATCCAGGTGTGGTGGTGGGTACCTGTAATCCCAGCTACCCGGAAGGCTGAGGCAGGAGAATCACTTGAACCTGGGAGGTGGAGGTTGCAATGAGCCAAGATCACATCACTGCACTCCAACCTGGGCAAAAGAGCGAGAATCTGTCTCAAAGAAAAAAAAAAATCCTACCACAGAGCTTTGGAAGTTTACAGACAGTAAAGAGTAAAGATAATCAGCCAGTATAATTTTTTTTCTTTTTCATGAAATGTAAAAACAGGATCCAAAGAACTATGATCATTATAGATTCTCATTCCCACCCCATGTTCTCAAAAGCAGATTTATTTCATTCTGGTTAATTGCATGCTGCCTCCAAAAATATGCAATTTAGGGTTCAGTTTGCTCCTTGCTTTATTTTTAATTGCATTTCTGTATTGTGTCTTAATTACTATAATTCAAATCAAATTAGATGTTGTTCTTTTACTTATTTAGAACACAAAATAAAATGAGTAGATCCCTGCCCTACAAAACATCAAAGGCTTTGTGCAAAAACAGCAACAACAAATATTTATCAAGCACTTGCAGATATAAGACAGGTTCTGTTTCAGTCTCAGGAGATAAGTGCTCTGTGGGTGATGAAAACAGGGCAACATGATAGAAAAGGATTGGATGGTCAGAGGAGGCTTGTTTCAAAAGACAGTAGTAAAGTTGAAATGTGAATTACAAGAAAGGTAGCCACGCAAAAATAAAGTATGTTTCGGTATGCTAGTGCAAAGACCCTGAAAGGGACTGAATATTTATGTACCCTCCAAAATTCATATGGTGAACACCTACTCCCCAGTGTGATATATTAAGAGGTGACAGCCGTGGGAGGTAATTAGGTTTAGATAAGGTTCTAGGGTGGAGCCCTCATAATGGAATAATGCTTTTATAAGAAGATACCAGAGAGTTAACCCCACCCCTGTTATGTAAAAATCCAACAAGATGGCCATCTGAAAACCAGGAGAGGGTTCTCATCAGACACAGAATCTATCAGCACCTCAGTGATGGACTTCCCAGACTGTAAAACTGTGAGAAACATATTTAAACCACCAAGTCCATAGGATTTTTGTTATAGCGGCCCAAGCTGACCGAGACAGACCCTGAAGTGTGAGCAAGCTTGGTGTGTTGGGAACGGAAACAAGCCACTACATATACGTGAGTGTGGTTGGTATATTTGTGTGTGTATTAGGGATGGGAGGTAGGGGGATTGGTGGTTTAATTTTGTTTTTCTTGATTACAATAAATTCAGGAAAATCTGGTATAAATAATGAGGTCAGAGAACTGGTCACAGGCCTGGTCAGATAAAATTTTATAAATCAGAGTAAGGAGTTAGATTAAAATCCAAGTTCCACTGGAGGGTTTTATTTCCAGTAGGGGGAGCCAAGTTATTGGCTTCAACTTCTTAAAAATTTAACATAAAAGGCATATGGACAAAGGGTTCTATTGAAAAAAATTGAAAGCCAAGTATTTGTTAAAGACATCCAGGCAAGATATGGTGGTGATTTGAATGATAGCAGTAGGAGCAGAGAGACAGAGAAGTGGGTACATATTTGATGCATTTTGGAAGCAGAGGCAAAAAAAATGTGGTAGTGGATCTTATATGGTAAGAGGAGGGGAAAATAAGGTTGAGGATTGCTCTTAGCTTATTGACATAAGCAATTGAGTGGGTGGTTTTACCATTCACTGGAATGGGAAAGAATATAGGAAGAGTTGAGTGAGAGTAAGTGACAGTCAAGAATTCTAGTTCATGTACTACATTTTCTTTATCCATTCATCTGTTGATGGACACTTAGATTGCTTCCAAATTTTGGCTATTATGGAGTACTCTTCAGCAACAAAAAAGTATGAGATTCTGTCATTTGCATTATGTTAAATGAAGTAAGCTAGGCACAGAAAGACAAACATCACATGTTCTCACTTATTTGTGAGATCTACAAATTAAAATAATTAAACTCATGGAGATAGAAAGTAGAAGGATGGTTATCACAGGCTGAGAAGTGTAGTTGGGGTGGGGGAGGAGGTAAGGTTAATGGCTACAAAAAAAATAGAATAAGACCTAGTATTTGCTAGCACAACTGGGTGACTATAGTCAAAATAATTTAATTGTACATTAAAAAACAACTAAAAGTATACATTAAAAAACTAAATAAAATAAAATTAAATTAAAAATAACTATAAATTAAAATATATATATATATAAATTTAAAAATAACTAAAAGAGTATGGTTTGTGATGCAAAGGATAGATGCTTGAGGTGATGGGTAATCACCCATTCACCCTTGTGATTATTATGCATTGCATGCCACATCTCATGTAACCCATACATATACATACCTACTATGTACCCACAGAAATTAAAATAAACAACTCTAGTTCAGACCTCTTAACTCTATGATATCTATGAGAAATCTAAACATGTGGTAAGTAGGTAGTTACATACACTGGTGCAGAGTTGTGGGAAGAGGTCATGTTGTGAGTAGTGAATTGGAAGGTGAAGGGCATATGCATGGTATTTATAGGCAGGAGGCTAAGTGAGTTCGCCTAAGAAGAATGAGTACTTAGGGAAGAGAAAGGGGTCTAGGACTGAGCCATGAAGCAATGCAATATTTAAAAGCTGAATAGAGGAGAAGCAGTTAGCAAAGTAGGCCAAGAACAAGCAGCCTCAAAGGAGCCTCAAAGGAGCCTCAAAGTAGGAGAAAAGCCAGGGAAGTGTGCTGTTCACAAAGCCAAGAAAACAGAATGTGAATAGTCATGGAATAAACAGCCACAATCAGTGCTTTTGAATGGAGTTTAAGACAGTTTAACAGTTTAAGACAGTTTAAGAAAAGAACAGACCTAATCAGTGTGCTAGCAATGTGGATGTCATCGATATGAAATGAGAATAGTCTCAATGGAGTGGCAGGGACTGAAGTACAATTATAGTGGGTTGATAGGAGAATGCAAGATGATAAGGTGGGAACAGCAACTACAGACCACATTTAAAGAATCTTACGGGAGAATAGGAAAAAAAAGTGTTGGCAGTAGAGTCAACAGAATGTTCTTTAAGATAGGAGATATTGAGATATCAATAGGGGATATAGTGATAGTGGAATTGTTCAATAGAGAAGGAGAAATAGATTATTCTGGAAAAAGAATTCTGTATAAAGCAGACATGAGGTCCTTGAACAGAAGAGGATAGATTCAGGAGACTAAAAGGGGAGGGTTGGTCTCATCTAGGAACAAGAACACATTCAGCCATGGAAAGAGAAGGACAGTCAGTATAAGTATATTACATAAATGCAGGTGGGTTAATAAATATGATGTTGAAAATATAAATAAGTACCTTTATTCCTATTAGCTCAATAAACTATGAGGGAAATTATAGCTGAGAATTAGAGTTTGTTGAAATGGATGAGGCTTGAAGAGAGAAAATAAGTCATTTGGAGAGTAGGAAAACATACATAATTGGCCTGTAGGATAGGACTTCTGGAGAATACTGTGTCTACATTTAAAATGAGGAATACACATAATCACTATGTTTGATTATTCTTCACCATTCCTTGGCATTTTGGTGTAAGAAAGAAAAAACAATATTTTAAGGTAAGTTCACTTTTTCTGTGACATAGAGATATTAGACATGAACAACCAGGGAATATTTGTTCAATAAATGATGTAAAAATCTGTAAACACTGACCCTGTGATGCCAAAGATACTGATAAGAGAACATCGAACATTCAGAGCAAAGCGAAAGAAAGTGGGGACTATACACAGAGAGCAAAGCCTTCCTCAATGAGTAACTAGCAATCTGCAAGACTAAATATTAATATATTGGAGGAAAGCAAAGCCACCTTACAATTCTACTGGTGACATTTTTACTGCCAGTGCACAACTTTTGCAGTGTCTGCTTCACCCACAACTTCCCTCTGTGATAACTTCCCTCCCTGCTCAATCTATGTTATGGGACCCTGTGGCCTGTTTGCCCTGATGGTCCTCTTTTCATGGCCATACCTGATTGATGCAGAGATGGATATGTTATCCATGTTGCTCCATCCACTTTGTCTTGATTGTTTGAATCAGCATTAATTGATGCTTATCATTTTCTGCTGGCCATTTGATCCAGACCTGTAAACTTGGGAGCTGAAAAATTCAGGAAAAATGCCCCCCTAAAAAGAAAAAGGTTGAAATTACCTGTCTAGAAAGAGAGGCCTTTCTATGCACCTGCTTTGATTCTTGAGAGCTTTACAGTACCAGGTTTCAAACTACCTTGGACTTGACTCTACTTCCCAACATAAGGTTCTAGGAGAAAGTCCTATATCCTTATAATGAGCTCTGCTCTCTTGCCTAAGCATTGGGCTTTTTGTAATTTTGAAACGAAGAAATTCCCAAGTCTTAAAGTTAACTTTGTGTAAATATATAAACAGTGTCAAGAATCTTCTCAAAATCAAAATCATTTATTTCAATTTATGTAATTGTTCATATAATCAAACAATACCTGTTCCCCAAAAACCTATTGAAATAAAAAATTCAAAAAAAAGCTAAAAACGAAACAAAGAGAATCTTCTGAAAATCTTAAGATGATATGAGGAAAGAATAGTTCAGTGTTGACTGCCATGTGTTTGCTCATAGGATATGAGGAAGAAAGTAGGTATAAAGTGAGGTTCTATCAAAACACAGACTCTTTTCTCAGCTGTACTCAGCTAAGCACTTTTACCAGCTCTTAATGAAAAAGAAAAATGCATAGTGGCATCCCTATGTGTAGCATTGAAAGTTGCCATATTAAACCATACTAATATAGATTATGTAGCAAAGTGTATATGCTTATTCCATAGCGTGGCCTCATTCAGTCTCAATTCATCTTTCTGTTATTTTCATAAATTTCAAAACCTAAGATCCCTTCCAGATAAATTAAAGATAAATAACACAACTGAACTGACACCCTGCCTGGCTATTTCAGACACGATTCCTGTATTAAGTGTGGATTAAAAGTTAAACAACACATCTGAAAAAAAAATACACTGTTTTAACCATACTTACACCCATCTAGGTGCATTACAAGCTGAATTATAATTAAATATTATGAGGAACTATGGCACACTGGAAGAGCAGTGGGGAGAAAGGACCAAAGTGATTGTCATTGCTGTCAAGTTCTACTATTAATCGAAATTTGCTCTTTGATGTCAACCTGGATGCCTTGAGGAATGTGTAAAGATCCACAGTATTTTCATCACTAGGTCTCCTGCCAGTTAGCATGCCACCTTCCCAGGTGAGAAAAAAAGACAAGACAGACTCGTGGAAAAACTCCAGAACATGTATGAGGAAAAAATATACTTTATTCCAGCGTTGCCAATACTTCATCATTTTGGCTTGTATTCCACTAAGTGTCTGTATTAACTTGGAAAAAATCCCTCACTTGTTCTTAGTCTAAGTTTAGTGTATTCATCTCTATGGGGATTTAGCTAGTTAATCTCTAACATTCATTTGGGCTTTTATAATTTCTGGCATTAAAAATCGACGCAGACTTTTAATTTTCTTAACCCAAAGTTGGGAATAAAAATATTTACTCTCTATCTACCTCAAAGAGTTGTTACATATGAAAGCTATCAGATTGGCACGGTTATATAAGGATTGGCATTAACTGAAAGTAGAGAGCTAAGCGTGTATTTCTATTTTAACTATTTTAATGCTTTGTATGAGCCTGCAAATATGGCCTGTTTAATCATTTAGTCAATTTAAATATCTATACAAGTAGATGAGTAATAAATGCCAAGGGAACTATATTGATTCAATTCAATTTGACAAACATTTATTGAGTAATTATTGTGTGCTGATTTCTGCAATAGGTCCTGACTGTGATATGGTCCCAGATCTTGAGGTGTTCACAATCTTGCAGAAAGAGAGAGTTTTATAAGAGAGGCATATTAAGAAAATGCTGTGGATAATTCAGATAATAAATTAATATGGATAGGCATGGGTGCATTTGTGTGTATTCATTTATAATTTCAGATGAAGATAAAGAATGGCTAAAAGTAGGTGAATAATGGGCAAAGGAGGTGGAAGTTCTAGCTAGGTGAGTCATATGAGGATTCTCTGAGGTGGTGAATTTGAAAAAGTGGTAAATAAAGTAAGAGGGGTGAGCGAAATGAAGATGTAGGGGAATAGTGTTCCAGGCAGAGAGACAGCATGCTGCTGGTCGGGAATAAAGTTGACGTGCACAAGAAGCCACAGGAAAGCCAGTGTGGCTGAAGCAATGAGAGAGAAAAGAAGGGTGGAAGAAGACTGGGTCAAAGAGGTAACCTGTGACAAATAAGAAACAGCCTTGTTCAGTCACAGTAAGGATTTCATTCTGAATATGATGGAAGCTCATTGAATGGTTCTGAGCAGATCAGTGGCATACTCTGATGTGCATTTTTAAAATGTCACCCTGGCTGCTGTGTGGAGACTTGATGTGAGGAGGGGGAGGAAAGAAACAGGGAAACCATATCAGAGATCAGGATCGCTGGCCAGCCCAGAAAGGACAGCAGCTTGGAGTAGGATGGAAAGTAGAAGTGGTCAGATTGGGGATATGTTTTGAAAATAAAGCTTAGAGAACTTGCTGATTACATATAAGGTATAAAAGAAAGAGAAGGATGGAGGAAAACTCACTATTTATTTTTTATTTCAACAATTCATTTAAAAGTAGTGCTTGCAATTATCCAGAAAGAGGAATTCTATAAGAAAATTACTAGGGACTGCCATATGTTCTCAATACTGTATCTTTAAGTGAGAGCTAAGCTATGAGTATGATACAGAGTGGTATAATTGATATTGGAGACTCTAAAGGTGGAGGAGGGTCTGAAGAGAGTGAGGGATGAAAAATTACCTATTGGTATTGGGTACAATGTACACTATTTAGATGAGAGGCACACTAAAATCCCAGACTTCACCACCATACAATTCTTTCATGTAACCAAAAATTACTTGTACCCCTAAAGCTGTTGAATTTTGTTTTAAAGGCTAACATTTACAGTTTGGTCTCACTAATTGAGACTATGGAAATCAAGCATACCTGGGTTTGAGTTCAGCTCGTCATTTGCTAGTGGAGTGATCTTAGGCAAGTAATTTCTATTCTAAGCTTCAGTTTTCTCGTCTATAAGAGGGAACAGTAACAGTACCTACTTTACGGGCCATTAAAACGTTTAAAAAGAGAATGCTAACACAAATGCTTTACATTTACTAAACACCCAATAAACATTGATGGAGGTTGTGGTAGTAGTCAGTTCTCAAAAAATGTTAGTCTTATTATGGTTTAGAAACTAGGCTAAATGCATTGAATCCTTGTAATAACTCTGTAAAATAACTGCAATTATTTTCCTCCTGCAACAAATGAAAAGACAGAGGCAGAGAAGATGATGGAGAGACTTGACTGTGAATATACAGCTGGTATGTGGTAGGAATACAACTGCAACCAAAGCAACGGCTGTAGTATCTGGGCTGTAACCAACAATGGCAGTAGAAATAGAGGTGGTAATAGCAACACTGTAGAAGTGTGGTAGTATAATAAAAAGTATTAATGTCATCCTTCTTCAATAAATCATTCGGCAATTCATTTATTTTTTCATAAAATATGAAATGAGTATTTGCTTCTTGCCAGGTAGTCTGTGACATTTAGAAAGCAGTGACTAGCTTCCAGAGAGGCTGAGGAAATGTGTACAGTGTACTCTGAGGTATCAGACCAGCCCCACTAGTGTTACGTGACATGGGGAATGTTGCCTAATTTTCTCAGCTTCTTTGGCAAAATTTCATAGGATTCCCAGGAAGATTAAAAAGGATAATCATGTAATGCACCTAGAATGTCATATAGCATTTGATAAATGTTAAACCTGCAGTCTTCTCTTCCCTTTAAAGTAATTGGGTAGATTTGTATTTACATTTACAAAGTTAAACAAATAAAAAAAGGGTAGATCAATGACACTACAATATGTTTCAATATCAAATATGCAGGCAATATCAAATTCCTTTCTTCCTTTCTTTCTGTCTAGCATTCCTCCTTCCTGTCTTCCTTCTTTCCATCATGCACCATGTACTGTATACCCACTAGAGGTTAAAAATCATCTCTAGGTCTCAGTTTAAATTTCTGCAAAACCCACTACATGCCATTCCTTAATAAAAATGCACCAGACAATAAAGATATGATTAAATGCCACGTTTAGCCTTCCAGAGCGATGACTCTGTGCTGAAGTGATTAGGAACAGTCTCCCACAGAAGATAAACCCTGAGCTGGCCCTTGAGGACAGAGTATCTAGATAGGAAAAATAACCTAGGAAGGGGCAGAAGCAAAAGGTGAGAAGCTAAAATGTGAGAGATGTTTGGTTTCCAATAAAGGATATAACTTGGCTAAATACACTGTTCACAGAGAACAGCCATCTTAATTCCATCACGTTTATAGAAACTTTGGTTTTGTTTTCTTTTTTAAGACGAGGTCTCGCTCTGTCACC
Organism: Homo sapiens; assembly: GCF_000001405.40. NCBI lineage: Eukaryota > Metazoa > Chordata > Mammalia > Primates > Hominidae > Homo > Homo sapiens. The sequence goes on from NC_000010.11 coordinate 106,408,436, forward strand.
CAGGCTGGAGTGCAGTGGTACAACCGTAGCTCACTGCAGCCTCGACCTCCCGGGAATCAAGCGATCCTTCTACTTCAGCCTCCAGAGTAGGTGGACCACAGGCACATGCCACCACAACTGGCTAATTACAAAAAATTTTTTCAGAGATGGGGATCTTCCTATGTTGCCCAGACTGGTCTCAAACTCCTAAGCCCAAGCAATCATCCTGGCTCAGCCTCCCAAAGTGCCAGGAATACAGGCATGAGCCACCATGCCAGCCTATAGAAACATTTTTTTAACAATAACCTTGCAGTGAAATCCAATGCATACGTCAGAAAAAGTGGAGGCACTCTGATTGAAGTTGGAGAAGAAAATCCAGAGACCTTCTCACCAGCTCGCCTTTTGCCCCAGAGGATCTGCAGAGAATCCTTAGCACCTTTGGAAGAAGAAACGTAAAATAAAGAAAAACAGGAGCTCCTTTAAAAGAGTAGTGAAAGTTTAAAAATTTACCCGGAAGCACCCTAAGGAGAATTTTGAATAGAAGTCTGAGTAATCCTGTACACAATGGAAATTGGATGAGGAATTAAAGCCAAAAAAAAAAAAACATAATTAGTTATGTTAAGAAAAAATAATCTGACTTAGATGGAGTCTGATTTAGCAGATTAAAATATTGCTTACAAGGTGATTAAATGAATATAACTAGAGTCTAGTTGTAGTGCCCCACAAAGATTCTTGTAGGGAAACCAAGATTATGTGAATGGCAATAAAGATCTAACCACAAATATGGATGTGCCTCTGAGTGTCTCCTTCCAAAGAGAAGGAAATGGAGCTCTACTACCTTTTATCAGTTTTAGAAGTTTGAATGCTTTTGTATATGAAATCAAAAACTATTCTTCCTTAGTTATTTTTCATAAATTCATGACAAAGTGAACCTACATTAGTTGTTTATATCTTTAACAGTAGTCCAAAATCCCAAATGAAGGCAAAATTTTACTGGTAAATTAGCATTTGATTTGACTCAAAACATGTCTCACTAAACAATCTTAATATGTTGCATTAGATGAATGGTGCTGATAAATTTACCTGTTGAGGAACGCTCCTAAATAAAACTTCTGAAATGTTTTCCCAATTTTTTTTTCCTTCTATTCTCTGTATAGACCATGTGGTAGGTAGGTAGAATAATGGACTCCCAAAGATATCCATGTCTTTTTTTTCTTTTTTTTTTTTTCTTTTTTTGAGATGGAGTCTTGTTCTGTCCCCCCAGGCTGGAGTGCAGTGGTGTAGTCTCAGCTCAATGCCACCTCTGCCTCCAGGTTCAAGTGATTCTCCTGCCTCAGCCTTCCCAGTAGCTGGAATTACAGGTGCATGCCACCACACCCAGCTAATTTTTGTATTTTTAGTAGAGATGGGGTTTCACCATGTTGGCCAGGCTGGTCTTGAACTCCTGACCTCATGTGATCCACGTGCCTCAGTCCCCTAAAGGGCTGGGATTACAGGCTTGAGCCAACATGCCCAGCCAATATCCATGTCTTAATCCCTGGTACCTCTGAATGTGATCTTACATAGCAGAAGAGATTTATAAATGTAATTAAGCTAAAGATCTTGAAACAAGAGAGTCTCCTGGATTATCTGGATGGTCCTGTGTAATGCTGAGAGTCCTTATAAATGAAAGAGATAGGAAGAGTCACAGAAAGAGATGTGATGAAAAAAGTGTAGTCTAGAGTGCTGCTATGTGAGAAACATTCCACTGGCCATTGCTGTTTTTGAAGATGGAAGCGGGGTCATGAGCCAAAGAGTGTGGGCAACCTCTGGAAGCTAGAAAAACCAAGGAGACAGACTCTTTTCTAGAGACCCTACAAGGAATACAGCTCTGTTAACACTTTGATTTCAGCTTAGTGAAACCCATTTTGTTCTTTTGACCTTTAGAAATGTAAGATAATAAACTTGTGCTGTTTTAAGCCACCAGGTTTTTTGGTGATTTGTTTTGCAGCAATAGAAAACTAATACAGAACCATTGCAATGACTTGAATGATGGTTAACAAAGAGAGCATCTTGGAGGTCAAAGAAGTTCATCATCTCATTCACAGAGTAAATTCTTACAACATTTTTTCTATTGGCCACCTCACCCCACTAAAATTTCCCATGACTATCTATGCCCTCACATTCTCAAATTATCTTGAAAATGCTACTTTGAGACGTGAATCAGTTGTGTATTCATGGAAGGTTAAAAAATCATCCTGAGGTCTCAGTTTAAATTTCTGTAAAACAAGATCAATAAAAACATCTATTTTATGGTTTGCTTTTTTGTAGAAGGAAGTGGAAGTTAGATTTAAGCAAAAGTTGTACGGTTTAATATGTGTACTTATCAAAAAACTCTGTTTGCAAGAAAGATAACTGCACTGTACTATGCATTTTGTTAAACTCTCAAAATAAAGACATGGCCTCTACCTTCAAAGAGTTTATAGTCTTACACACTTGGTGCTCAGTACATATTGACCCTACAACGTTGGCAAATAGTAAACTCTCAGTAATAATGACTTGTAGTAAGTTCTTATGGTGTTTGCATACAGTAAGTGTCAGTAAATATTTACCAGCATTGCTGGTAAGGATACATTTAGCTAATAAAGGCATGGTGGGCTACTCAATACTTTTAAGCTGTATTAAATATGTTGTATTATGCAATGATGGTATACAAATATGTATACATTTTCTCCATAACTATACGTAATTTACTTGATCAATTGTTGGAAATTTGCAACAATATGGCCTGTGTAATATGTCAATTGATAGTAAACCCTAGCATGGTTGTAATTATCTGCTTAAACCATCTTGGAAATACTCCTATGTAGTTGTGATGTACTACGAATTGTCTTTTCTGGTACCTGATGTTAGGGAGAGGCCTGAATATATAAATATTGCACTAAAACTAAAGCTAATGATCTGTGACACCTTGTCCTACATGTCAAATCGACATGGGAAATTTAGCAAATGCAGGAAAGTTTCCAAGCAAAGAGCAGATTCCTTACTTTTCTCACTTTTGATTTTTCCAATGTCCATGTCTGCCCAGCAACAGCAACATGCATCCTTCAGAAGCTGCCAAATGAAAACAGGAATACAAATAGAGTGGCACACTGTCACTTAAGTAAATCACACCAGCCTTGAATCCCAGGGAAGGTGGCAGGGCAAGTCGAACTTTCTTGAAGACAAGATTAAAGTGCAGTTCAGGGAAAAGTCACTGAAATGAATGCTTCATATTCGAAGGCAACATATATTTACAGAAAATGAAATCTTGGTTAAAACATTTTTGAATCATGCCTAAGTGTTCCCTATAAACTAGAAAGATTTTGCTTGATTTACTTGGTTCAATTTCTAGGCTTTTTCCCCCTCTGTGCTAATGGCAAGCTATCAATCATCAAAGCTGTAATCAGATTTTGCAGAAGGCCACCAGCATCATTTTCAATCATTTAAATTTTGCCAGACTGCCTCCCTTCTTTATGAATCACAGAGATTAATGTGAAAGGGTTTTTAAATGCATTTTAGGGAAATTAACAAATTATGATTGTTTCTTCTTAACTCACAGCTCACCATTTTACCAAACATTATGCATAGTCTTTGTTATGGCTGCTAACAGTTTTATTGCTCTGAGAAAGAAAAATAGTAAAGGCATCCTGTACTTAACACTGAGATGGCTCTTTGGACAGATAATACATATATTCAAAATAGAAATCATTAGGGAAAGGTGTTTTGGGGAATACATATTTTACCCCCAGGTATTTTCCTGGATAAATAGCTTCCAAATAAGGCTTTGGCTCAAATAGCAACATAAAAATATGACAAGAGTTTTGTCTCCAGGTTGATCTGGTCTTGTCTTCAGGCTGGACACATGGTCACACAAAGGAGTATGTGTGTGTGTGTGTGTGTGTGTGTGTGTGTGTGTGTGTGTGTGTATAAGTTTATCATTTAAGATATATTCAGCTATAAAACAGAAGATTCTGAGTGAGCTAGATAAAACAATATAGTAAATTAATTCTTTCAAATAGAAAGAAGTTAAGAGGTAGAGTAGTATCAGAATTGACTAATTCAGTATCAATACTCTTTCATCTGCTCTCCTCAGTGTGTACAATTGACCCTACTCATGGTCACACAATGTTGCTATGTCTCCAGATGATGCACACATGCATGGCAGCAATCAACAGGAGGAACATTCTCTCTCACTTTCTCAATTCAGTGAGAAAACTCTTTCCAAGAAGCTCCAGGAGACTCCCTTTATTTCCTCTTAGCCATTGGCTTGCTGAAGAGATAAGATGGAACCATCATTCTTAGCCTAAACCAATTACTATTTATTCCCTGAGTTAGAAATGGAATTATTTTAATTCCATGACCATGCAGAAGTGAGTGGATATCTCTACAAAATCACATTTACATTAGAATGTGTGGGGTTTGGGGGCTGAGCATGGACAGGGTGTTTGTGAATGGATGTTGGTTAGAGCAGGCATTCCCCAAGCCCCCAGTACTGGTCTGTGGCCTGTTAGAAACCAAACTGCACAGCAGGAGGTGAGTGGTGGGTGAGTGAGCATTACCACCGGAGCTCTGCCTCAGATCAGCAGCAGCATTAGATTCTCATAGGAGCACAAACCCTATTGTGAACTGCACGTGCAAGGGATCCAGAGTGGAACAGTTTCATCCCAAAACCATCCCCCAACCCACATTCATGGGAAAATTTGTCTTCCATGAAACCAGTCCATGATGCCAAAAAGTTTGGGGACCACTGAGTTAGAGCACTAAAACTATCTGCTATATGAACAATTGATCTTTTTCCAAAATGGAATTGTACTATATATTTTTTCAATTAAAAATATATACCAGATTCAATTAAGTCTCACAATATTTAATTATATGAATATACAACATTAGCTATTTTGTGCATTTGAAAAGTAACCCCATTTCAAAATATTCATTTCCATTGTCCAGAACATTTATATAAATATATATATCTTTAAATACTGATGCTTTTATTTTTTAATTAAAATATATTTTTTCAATTAAAAATATATACCAGACTTCAATTAAGTCTCACAATATTTAATTATATGAATATACAACATTAGCTATTTTGTGCATTAGAAAAATATTCCCTTTTCAAAATATTCGTTTCCATTGTTTAGAATATATATATATATATATATATATCTTTAAATACTGATGCTTTTATTTGTTTGCCATGAGATATATTTGTAGGAGTAAAAATGTTGGCTTAAAAGACATGTAATTTTGAAAACAACAAAGATATTACCAGATTATTTCTCTGAAATGCTGTAATATTTCTGTTTTGTCAAGAATATTTAAAACTACTTTTTTCCTCTGCACTCCTACCAGGAAAATAAGTTTTCACTCTTTGTTTTGCCAACTGGATGGGTGAGCAAATTGTTACTTTAGTTATATTTTAACTTCCACTAACAAAAGTAAGTAACTTTTCATGTGTTTTTTGACTATTTGGATCATTACTTTTATAAACTCTCATTGCATATTTTTAAACAGTTTCCCGACCCATGCCTAAATTCCCTAGCTTATCATTTAATACCATAAAAATATTAATAATAGCTATTTCAAAGGCAGTATTTGATCATTTCAATATTTGGATCTCCTATCTGCCTGACTTTACTATTTATTTTTTGCCTTGGTTTTTAGTCAAATCTTACCTTCTTGTTCATATGATGTCACCATATAGGAGACAGGGCTAATGTGCAGCTCCCACTTGGATGGACAGAACAGTGTATGGAGACTCACACCGTAAACTTTTGCGCCAAGAACCACCACAGGAACATAACAGGAAAACCAAAAGAATTCACAGATCATTTGAAAGAAGCAGCCCGCTGCTGCAAATTTCACAAGGTTACAGAGGGGGAAGCTTACACCTTAGAGCAAGGTCCGAATGGAGCACTGCAGGAGTGAGACTGGCCTCACCAACTGCGTGGGAGCTGAGTGAGGTCTTACACTGCCAGCTATCCCCCACTTCTCTGGTGAAGTATATGACAAAGCAGAGGCAGCCACAATCCCCTCTGGAACATAATCCCTCACTGGCCTGAGAACCACTCCACATGCCCCACTGTAGCCGTGGCAAGCCCCGCCCAAAGAGAGTCTGAGCCCAGACCCACCTAACCCTGCCCCCAACTGACGGTATTTCTCTCCCTGTCCTGGTAGCCAAAAGCAAAGGACATAAACTCCTGGGAACTTTATGGCCCTGCCCATCACGTGAGAAATCAGAATACTTACCCTGGCCAACTTAGGGCAAGCCTAGATCCTCTTACTACTAACCCATCTGGTGCTTTCTTGAAAGCACCATCTTCTGGCTGGAGGCCAACCAACTCAGGCCATCACAGCAACTAATGACGGAATAACCGTGTTGCCAGGAAAGAGAAAATAATATCTAATTCCACTGCCTTCAAAATCCTGGCTAACCAGTGGTCCTGGGTCTGTGGACCTCATAACAACATTACTGCTAGCATAAACAGCATTGAGAAAGCCAGCACACTAAACGTATCTACAACCAAGGACTCTCACAGTGAGAGTCTCCTTCACTCCCCTACCACCTCCACCAGAACGGGTACTGGTGTGTGCTGCTGGGAGTCATAAAGATGGATCACATCACAGAACTCTTTGCAGATATTCCCCAGCACCAACCCAGAGCCTGGTGGCCCCGCTGGGTGGCTACACCCCAAAGGGCATTAACAATCACTGCAGTCTGACTCTCAGGAAGCCCCATCCTTAGCGGGAGGGGGAGAAGAGCACATCAAGGCATCAACCTGTGGGACAAAAGAATCTGAACAGCAGGCCTTGAGTTCCAGACTTCCACTGAAATAGTCTACCCAAATGAGAAGGAACCAGAAAAGTAATTCTGGAAATATGACAAAACAGTGTTCTACAACACCTCCAAAAGATCACACTACCTCTCTGGCAATGGATCCAAACCAAGAAGAAATTTCTGAACTGCCGGATAAAGAATTAAGAATATTTATTATGAAGTTACTCAAAGAGATACCAGAGAAAACTGTAAACCAACTTAAGGAAATTTAAAAACAACACAGGATATGGATGAAAAATTCTCCAGAGAAATAGACATCATAAAGAAAAAACAATCCCAAATTCTGGAAATAAAAGACAGATTTAGAGAAATACAAAATGCACTGCAAAATTTCAACAATATACTAGAACAAGTAGAAAAAAGAACTTCAGATTTTGAAGACAAGGCTTTCAAATGAACCCAACTGGACGAAAACAAAGAGAAAATAATTTGAAAAAATGAACAAAGTCTCCAAGAAATGTGGGATTATGTTAAACGGTTGAACCTAAGAATAACCGGTGTTTCTGAGGAAGAAGAGATATCTAAACATTTGGAAAACTTATCTGAGGGAATAATTGAGGAAAACTTCCCTGGCCTTGCTAGAGATCTAGACATCCAAATACAAGAAGCTCAAAGAACACGTGGGAAATTCATTGCAAAAAGATCAGCTCCTAAGCACATAGTCATCAGGTTATCTAAAGAAGGAAAAACCCTTAAGAGCTGTGAGACAAAAGCATCAGGTAATCTACAAAGGAAAACCTATCAGATTAACAGCAGATTACCTAGCAGAAATTTTACAAGCCAGAAGCGTTTGGGGTCCTATCTTTAGCCTCCTTAAACAAAATAATTATCAGTCAAGAATTTTGTATCCACCAAAACTAAGCTTCATAAGTGAAGGAGAAATAAAGTCTTTTACAGATAAACAAATGCTGAGAGAATTCGCCACTACCAAGCCAGCACTGCTAGAAATGCTAAAAGGAGCCAAATCTTGAAACAAAACCTTTAAATACACCAAAATAGAACCTTTTTAAAGCACAAATCTCTCAGGGCCTATAAAACAATAACACAATGAAAAACAAGGTATTTAGGCAACAACTAGTATGATGAATAGAGCAGTACTTTACATGTCTATGCAAACATTGAATGTAAATGGCATAAATGCTCCACTTAAAAGATACAAAATTGGCTCACCCCTGTAATCCCAGCACTTTGGGAGGCAGAGGCCAGCAGATCACCTGAGGTCAGGAGTTCGAGACCAGCCTAGCCAACACAGTGAAACCCCATCTCTACTAAAAATACAAAAATTAGCCAGGCATGATGGTGGGCACCTGTAATTCCAGCTACTTAGGGGCCGAGGCAGGAGAATCACTTGAACTCAGGAGGTGGAGGTTGCAGTGAGCCAAGATCACACCACTCCAGCCTGGGTAACAGAGCAAGATTCCATCTCAAAATAAATAAATGAATAAAAAATACAGAATGGCAGAATGGATAAAAATCCACCAACCAAATATCTTAAACCAAGTACCTGCTGTCTTCAAGAACTCACCTAACACATAAGGACTCACATAAACTTAAGGTAAAGGAATGGAAGAAGATATTCCACTCAAATGGAAACCAAAACTGTATTAGTCCATAACAAAATGCTTGCTATAAAGAACTACTGCAATAAAGAACTAACTGAGACTGGATAATTTATGAAGAAAAAGGTTTAATTGACTCACAGTTCCAAAGGCTGTACAGAAGCATGACTGGGAGGCCTCAGGAAACTAACAGTCATGGTGGAAGGCAGAGGGAAGCAAGGACATCTTACCATGGCAGAGCAGGAGAGACAGAGTGTGAAGGGGGAAGTGCTACACATTTTCAAACAACCAGGTCTCATGAGAACTCTGTCTGGAGACAGCACTAGGGGGATGGTGCATTAGAAACCACCCCCATGATTCAGTCACCTCCCACCAGGTCCCTGCCCCAATATTGGAAATTATAATTCAACATGAGATTTGGGTGGGAATACAGGGTCAAACCATACCAAAAAGCAAGCAGGAGTAGTTATTCTTATATAAGATAAAACAGATGTTAAAGCAACCACAGGGGGAAAAAAAAGACAAAGAGGGACGTTAGGATGACATTATACAATAATAAAAGGATTAATCCAACAGAAAAATACCACAATCCTAAGTATATATGCACCTAATACTACAGCTCCCACATTTATAAAACAATTACTACTAGACCTAAGAAATGAGATAGATGGCAACACAATAATAGCAGGGGATGTCAATACCTCACGGACAGCCCTAGGCAGGTCATCAAGACAGAAAGTCAACAAAGAAACAATGGACTTAAACTATACCCTAGAACAAAAGGAGTTAACAGATATTTACAGAACATTCTACCCCAAAACTGCAGAATACACATTCTTTTCATCAGCACATGGAACATTCTCCAAGACAGACCATATGATAGGTCACAAAACAAGTCTTAGTAAAATTTAAGAAAACTGAAATTATATTCATTGAATATATAATTGTAGAAAACACAATCCTAAAATTCCCATGGAACACACACAAAATACCCTGCATAGCCAAAGCAAGACTAAGTAAAAAGAACAAATCTGGAGGCATCGCACTTCAAACTATACTACAAGGCTATAGCTACCAAAGCAGTGTGGTACTGGCATAAAAATAGGCACATAGACCAATGGAACAGCATAGAAAACCCAGAAATAAAGCCAAATACTTACATCCAACTGATCTTTGACAAAGCAAACTAAAACATAAAGTGTGGAAAGGACAACAAATTCAACAAATGGTGCTGGGATAATTGACAAGCCACATGTAGAAAAATAAAACTGAATCCTCAACTCTCACCTTATAGAAAAAAACTCAGGATGGATCAGACTTAAATCTAAGACCTGAAGTCATAAAAATTCTAGAAGATAGCATCAGAAAGACTCTTCTAGACATCAGCTTAGGCAAAGAGTTCGTGTCTAAGGACCCAAAAGCAAATGAAACAAAAACAAAAATAGATAGTGCCTAATTAAACTTAAAAGCTTCTGCACAGAAAAGAAAATCAGCAGAGTTAGACAACCCACAGAGTGGGAGAAAATATTCAAAAACTATGTATCCAAAAAAGGACCAATATCCGGAATCTACAAGGAACTCAAAGAAATCAACAAGAAAAATCCAAATAATCCCATCGAAAAGTGTGCAATGGACATGAATAGACAATTCTCAAAAGAAGATATATAAATGGCCAACTAATATATGAAAAAATGTTCAACATCTCCAATTATCAGGGAAATGCAAATTAAAACCACAATGGGATACCACTTACTCCTGCAAGAGTGGCCATCATAAAAAAAAATTAAAAATAATAGATGTTAGTATGGATGCGGTGAAAAGGGAACACTTTTACACTGCTGGTGGGAATGTAAACTAGAATAACCACTATGGAAAACAGTATGGAGATTCCTTAAAGATGTAAAAGTAAAACTACAATTTGATCCAGTAATCCCACTACTGGGTACTACCCAGAGAAAAAGAAGTCAATGTGTGAAGAAGACACTTGCAAACTCGTGTTCATAGCAGCAAAAATATGGAACCAGCCTAAATGCCCATCAACCAATAAGTGAATAAAGAAAATGTGAGAGATATATATATCTATATATCATATATATATAGATATATATATATATATGCCATGAAATACTACAAAATCATAAAACAGAATGAAATAATGGCATCCACAGCAACCTGAATGGAGTTGGAAACCATTATTCTAAGTGAAGTAAATCGGGACTGGAAAACTGAATGTTGTATGTTCTCATAAGTAGGAGCTAAGCTATGAAGGCACAAATGCAAGAGAATAATAAAATGGACTTTGGTGTCTTGTGGGGAAGGGTGGGAGGAAGGTGAGGGATAAAAGGGATACAACACTACACGTTGGGTACAGTGTACACTGCTTGGGTGACAGGTGTACCAAAATCTCAGAAATCACCACTAAAGATGTTATCTCTGTAACCAAAAACCACCTGTTCCCCCAAAACTACTGAAATAAAAAAATTAAAAAGAAAAAAAATAAAAGATAAGTAAATTTGTAATTAATTTCATATCATAATTTAATTGCATATTAGAATTTTACTAAATTAGTATCCATATCTGTACCTTATTCTCACAAATCAAGCAAAAATCTCCTCCTCATCTCATTTTTAACAAAGAATATTTAATGATAACCTGCCTGTGAAATATTTAATGATAACCTGCCTATGAAATATTTAATGATAACCTGCCTGTGAAATATTTAATGATAACCTGCCCGTGCTACAGAAATGATGAACATAACAGTCACAGTTCCTGACCTGGTGGAACTTAAAACCTAGTGAGAGAGGCATAAAACACGCAAATATTTTCGTAAACATTTAAAAATAGAATTGTGGGAAGGGTGGGAGGGGTACAAAAATATAGTTAGAAAAAATGAATTACTATTTGATAGCACAACAGGGTGACTATAGTTAATAACAATTTAATTGTACATCTTAAAATAATTAAAAGAGTATAACTGAATTGTTTGTAACATAAAAGGTAAGTGCTTGAAGCGATAAATAACCCCCTTCTCCATGGTGTGACTATTAGGCATTGCATGCATGTATCAAAACATCTGGTGTACCTCATAAATACATATACCTCCTACACCTCTATGGCAAGTGCTGGAAAGAATAACACCATTTTAAAGCTAAAAGAGAGAGAGAGAGAGTAAAAGATTTAATGGATTATGAGAAAAAGGTAAAGACTCTGCTCATCACAGGCAGAAAGCGGTGATGAAAACTAAAAGTAACATCAACATTCTGTTTTTGCACAAGTAGTAAAAAATGCTCATTTGTTATGAACACTCTAACTAAATGCTTTTCACATTTAATGTGATGACATGAAAGATCTACCTAAGGATGGCTTTGTAGAAACAGAAAAATCATTCCTACCAATGCTCTCTAATCTCCCCACTCTCTAATGTTTTCTGCTATTACTATTATAAATTGCCAGGATGTGTGACTCCTTTCCTCAGACAATACCTCTTCTAAAACAATCTTTCTATATGAAGAGGAAAATGCATAACCCTTATTCATATTTTAACCAGTTGGTTCCTTTCCCATATTTGCCATCTCCTGACTTATATACTCTCTAGATTTGCATGTCTTCTGAAACACTAGTTCTAGAGGACCATGACTTTAACTTGCCAAAATTTCTGCACAGCACCTAGATAAACCTTACGTACTAAAGGGTTTTTTTGTTTGTTTGTTTTGCTTTTTTTTTTTATCATACTTTAAGTTTTAGGGTACATGTGCACAAAGTACAGGTTAGTTACATATGTATACATGTGCTATGTTGATGTGCTGCACCCATTAACTCGTCATTTAACATTAGGTATATCTCCTAATGCTACCCCTCCCCGCTCCCCCCACCCCACAACAGGCCCCGGTGTATGATGTTCCCCTTCCTGTGTCCATGCATTCTCATTGTTCAATTCCCACCTATGAGTGAGAACATGCGGTGCTTGGTTTTTGTCCTTGCAATAGTTTGCTGAGAATGATGGTTTCCAGCTTCATCCATGTCCCTACAAAGGACATGAACTCATCATTTTTTATGGCTGCATAGTATTTCATGGTGTATATGTGCCACATTTTCTTAATCCAGTCTATCATTGTTGGACATTTGGGTTGGTTCCAAGTCTTTGCTATTGTGAATAGTGCCGCAGTAAACATATGTGTGCATGTGTCTTTATAGCAGCATCATTTATAATCCTTTGGGTATATACCTAGTAATGGGATTGCTAGGTCAAATGGTATTTCTAGTTCTAGATACCTGAGGGATCGCCACACCGACTTCCACAATGATTGAACTAGTTTACAGTCCCACCAACAGTGTAAAAGTGTTCCTATCTCTCCACATCCTCTCCAGCACCTGTTGTTTCCTGACTTTTTAATGATCGCCATTCTAACTGGTGTGAGACACGGTATCTCATTGTGGTTTTGATTTGCATTTCTCTCATGGCCAGTGATGATGAGCATTTTTTCTTGTGTCTTTTGGCTGCATAAAGGTCTTCTTTTGAGAAGTGTCTGTTCATATCCTTCGCCCACTTGTTGATGGGATTGTTTGTTTTTTTCTTGTAAATTTTTTGGAGTTCTGGATATTAGCCCTTTGTCAGATGAGTAGACTGCAAAAAATTTCTCCCATTCTGTAGGTTGCCTGTTCACTCTGATGGTAGTTTCTTTTGCTGTGCAGAAGCTCTTTAGTTTAATTAGATCCCATTTGTCAATTTTGGCTTTTGTTGCCATTGCTTTTGGTGTTTTAGACATGAAGTCCTTGCCTATGCCTATGTCCTGAATGGTATTGCCTAGGTTTTCTTCTAGGGTTTTGATGGTTTCTGGTCTAACATTTAAGTCTTTAATCCATGTTGAATTAATTTTTGTATAAGGTGTAAGGAAGGGATCCAGTTTCAGCTTTCTACATATGGCTAGCCAGTTTTCCCAGCAGCATTTATTAAATAGGGAATCCTTTCCCCATTTCTTGTTTTTGTCAGGTTTGTCAAAGATCAGATGGTTATAGATATGCAGCATTATTTCTGAGGGCTCTGTTCTGTTCCATTTGTCTATATCTCTGTTTTGGTACCAGTACCGTGCTGTTTTGGTTACTGTAGCTTGTAGTATAGTTTGAAGTCAGGTAGCATGATGCCTCCAGCTTTGCTCTTTTGGCTTAGGATTGACTTGGCGATGCGGGCTCTTTTTTGGTTCCATATGAACTTTAAAGTAGTTTTTTCCAATTCTGTGAAGAAAGTCATTGGTAGCTTGATGGGGATGGCATTGAATCTATAAATTACGTTGGGCAGTATGGCTATTTTCATGATATTGATTCTTCCTACTCATGAGCATGGAATGTTCTTCCATTTGTTTGTACCCTCAATAAAATTTCATTGAGCAGTGGTTTGTAGTTCTCCTTGAAGAGGTCCTTCACATCCCTTGTAAGTTGGATTCCTCGGTATTTTATTCTCTTTGAAGCAATTGTGAATGGGAGTTCACTCATGATTTGGTTCTCTGTTTGTCTGTTATTGGTGTATAAGAATGCTTGTGATTTTTGCACATTGATTTTGTATCCTGAGACTTTGCTGAAGTTGCCTATCAGCTTAAGGAGATTTTGGGCTGAGACGATGGGGTTTTCTAGATATACAATCTTTGATTTGTTGTTTTCTCAGATTCAAAAGGTTCTTCAAAGGGCATTTTAAATTTGATGTTAGAATGAAGCGTGCCTTTGAAAAATTAACTTTTATACACAGATGTACCATTTGTTCTTGTTCTGAAGCAATATTGTATAAGAATAAAATAATCTTCACTGAATTCTATTAAGACTATATAACATTCTAGACAACCGAAAAGGCTTTTTCCTGGAATTAGATATGGAACATTACAGAACATTTTTGTCTCCTTGGTTGCAGGGATACATCATATGTTAAGGCCAACACATTTATATCTCAAGAAAGTCATGAACCAAATCATCTGGAGTTGAGAAAGTTGTTTAAATGTGTCAGAGAAGGAATAAATTGTAGGCAAAATGTGGTGTAAAGATTAGCATGCAGGAGCTCATCTATGGCATTGGTAGTCTCCAGTGTTCATTTGTTTTAAAGATAAGTCTAATGTATTACAAATAGAAATCCAATGCCTTTAGCAGAGTAGATGCTGACAATCTAAAACTAAGCGAAACAAACCACCTCCAATAAACTCATCAGTCAATGATCATTATTCTTTCATTTTATCATCATATTCTCAGAAACACAGTTAATATTAATTCATGGAACAGCAGGAATCTGATGTTATAAGAATAAAAACAGAACCTGATTTTATAGGATACATTATTCACATAATAAAATGATGAAATGTTCAATACCCAAACCATGAACATGAGCTCAAAACTAGTCACTTGATGAAATTTAAAAGAAAAAAAAAAGAGAAATAGTCTCTTCGTTCAGATATTTACTATTTCAGTAGGAAAAAAAGAAGAGAAAATATTGGCAAAGTATTTTAATGTACTGTTTTAGGTCATTTGTTTTTGTATTTGGAGAGTGTATTTTGAAAGCTTGGATCCAATTGGTTGAAGCTTTGGAGTCATGAGGAATTCTTACATTTTTAATCTGGAAAAGTTCCTCACAAAGGAGAGGATTTAATGTGGGCTTTGGAGTTCATATATGGTTGGACCAGAAGGAGTTTTCTAAAATGTTCATTATGTTCACTTGTCAAATTGCCAAATTATCTCCTTGTTACTACAGGTCAGATAGTAATCCCAAATGGATTCAGTTTCTTCTTCAGCTTCCCCCAATTAAAATTAGCATATGCAAACATCAAAATTATTTTTTAAATTTCATCAGAAGATAGATTTGTTGGTAATTTTATTAGTCTTATGATAAGCTAGAGTCAGAAATGGGCCCCTAATGTCATTTATGCAACCCCACTGTTTTGCTTATGAAGAAACTGAAGCCCACAGGCATTTGAAGTCATACAGTTAGTGATCCAATTGGATGGAATCTATGGTTCTCTTATTCTTAGAGCAGGACTCTTTCCATCCTAGCACACATGTTCTCTAGCTCAAACTAGACAAAAATAAAAAATTTCATGCCGAGCCTTCCGGTCTACGTTTCTCAGGCTCAAGTTTGATCTGCTTTTGAGAAACTATGCTGTTTTGAGATTTTCATGGGCAAAGATAGAAACAGATTAAGTAACTTTGCCTTACAGTCGTATATGATATTTCTCTTAAAACTTGATCTTTATATCTATGTCCCCATTAAATTCTAATAGAGTTGAGTCATAATTTTTAGAAATTACTTGTTTGAAGATCCTCTGAGTCAATACAATGGATTGGGATTCAGAGGACTCATGGTATTATCATGTGTTGGTAACAACCTCTTCCCTCATAGTACTTACATAAGTAAGCACTTACGTAAGTAAGCACTTACGTAAGTACTTACATAAGTAAGTACATAGTGATGTACTTACATCACTGAATCATAATGACTTTTCCAATATACCAAAAAATAGCTAATCATTTCTTGTGACATGTCAGCATATGTTTGAGGGTGGAGGGTAGGATATGACTATGACCTAAGAAATGTTCACAGGCTTATGTTATATTCTTGGAAAAGATGTACTTTACTATCTCTATCTATTTTCATTCATACAGTGCTTAATTTTACTGGAGGCAAAAAAAAAAAAGGACAATGTGAGAAGAAGAGTTCAGCCATGCATTACTTTTTAAAAAAAGAAACTCTGGAAGATTTTTAAGAATAAGATGGCATGAATATTCCTGCTCTATGAAAGCAACAGAACTATTTTCTCTATGACCTCTTATCTAAATTTTACCAGAAGCTTCTGAGGTTAAAGTCAAATTTTATAATTCATTATTTCTTATCCTTAATTGCAGAAATATTTATAAAATCTTGAGTCCAAGGCCATAATTTGGAAGTGTGCAGATGTAGCCCACCCTCATTTAAAGTTGATAAGAAAAAAATGAGTTAAAAAAATAGAGGTATCCCAAATGACTATACTTCATTCCTCAATATTAAATAATAGACATATCCTCACCACTCTACTACAGTTCTGTTGGTTATGGGTGATTAATTCATTAAAATAAACAGATATATGTTGTGTCTTTGCCATGGCCCAGGCATGGTTCTCCTCATATGTTAGTGGGAAAAGACAGAAATAATGAAATAATTGTATCATATTGCAGGTGATGATAAAAGAGAAGAAGAAAAATTAAGCAGGAAAAAGAATATGGAGAGTAAGGCGTCACATGGGTGCTTTTTTATATAAAGCAGTGGGGAAATAACTGTCTAATAAGGTAATGTTTGAGCAGAGATTGGAAAAAAATGAGTCATATATATGCCTGGCAGAAGAGCATTCCAAGAAAGGAAAAGAAAAGCTCAAAGCCCATGAGGTGAGCAGGTGCTTAGCATGTTAAAGGAACAACAGAGGAGGCCAGGGTAGCTGAAGAAGAATGATTGACAGGGCTAGTGGTAGGAATTGAGGTTGGAAAGATGATAGCAGTTACATCAAATTGGACTTTGGTTTTTACTCTAAGTGGAAAACCATTGGAGAGTTTTGAGCAGAGGGTTAACGAATATTTGATGCTGTATGCAGGATGGACTGCACCGGGACAAAAGGTAAAAACAGGGAAACAAGAGTCTGCTGAAGTGACCCACATGAGAAATATGGCAGCTTGGTCCAGGTGGTAGCTGATGAATGTGTGGTCTTTTTTCTTTTTTAAATTTCAGCTCTTGAACATATTCAGTGGGCTCTTTCTAACCTCATAGATCCTACCTACTCAAGCAGCCTTCTCTCTGCTGAATCTAGCTAGCATCAAAAGATCACATAATATCTCATAAACATATAATTATTATTTGTTAATTAAAGATAATACATATTGTTTTAATTAACAATAAAAAAGACCTTCTGGAGCTGGCCATATTCTCTTTCTAGCCTCAGGCTAGGTTGTCACTACTACACTGATGAGCATTGTTGCGGATCTACTGATTCTCAACTTTGTGTTCAAATATACAGAGGCTTCCCTAGGAAGGATGGTGAGGGCAAACTATTAAATTCTTTCTCTTCTCACTATGAGACACATTTCCCATTTAACTCTGCTTGGGCCTCACATTGTAAGGTAGGGGTCTAGGCGGAAAAGTTTCTCCCAGAATGTGAGGGAAAGCCACTCATTCTTAGAGAGGTAGCTAAGGGTATATGTGGGAGACCACATTCCCACGGCTTTTTCCTCTCTTCCATCCTTTTAATCCACACTGGGTTAAAAAGGGTTGGCTTATTTTAACAGCCTTTGTGTCATGTCATTCTAGTATTTAGCAGCGAGACTTTGTCTGGATGTAACAGGCAAAAGAACTTTGGAGAAGTCTCTCTGGTTACCAAACTGATTGTCTTGCTAAAGAAGTCAAGTAGCTACTTTTCCTTATTTGAGGCAAAAAACTTGGGAGGTAGGCCTCGGAGACGGAAAGCTACAAGGAAACATGATTTAAGATCAAAATACATCAATTTGTTGTTTGCTAAATATTATTCCTGGAACAGCTATGATAAATGCTGAATATTGGATCGGTGAAGAAAATGATAATTGTTCAATAAATGGTATATATTAGCTTCCTAGTGCTTCTATAACAAATTATAAAAAAAAACCTTATGGCTTAAAACAACATAAATTTATTCTCTTACAGTTCTACAGGTTAGAGATCCACAATTAGTCTCAATAAGCTAAACTCAAGTGTCCATAGGGCAGTGTCCATTTTGGAGATGCTAGGTTTCCATTTCCTTGCCTTTCACAGCTTTTAGAACTTGGTGGCATTCCTTGGCTCATAGCTCCTTTACCACTTTCAAAGCACATGACTCCAACTTCTGCTTCTGTTACAATACAACCTTCTCTGACTTTGCCCCTCTTGTCTCCCTGTTACAAAGACCCATGATTCCACTGAGCAAAGCCAAATAATTTAGAATAATGTCCCATCTCAAGATCCTTAGCTTAATCACATCTGCAAAATTCCTTTCGCCATATAAGGCAACATATTCACAAGTTCAGGAGATTAGGGCCTAGACATCTTTGGGTGGGTTCTATTCATCACATGACGCAAGATAAATTGCCTAACTTTCTTTCTCTTTCTCTCTTTTAACAGCCTTTGTGTCATATCATTGAATTGAAATTGATCCATCAATTGAAGTGTGAAGAATTGAAATTGATCCATCAGTTGAAGTGTGAAGAATTGTCATCAATTCTTCAGATTGCCATTGATCCATCAATTTCAATTCTATGAATTTCTCAAAGTAAATTTTTAAATACACAAATATATATTGAAGCTAATTTACTGCCATGATTGGTTGCTAATGATTGCTAATGATTGTGATTAGTGTGGGAAGTCTATAGACCTGATAGCTATGATTCTCTAAATTTATTTTACTATATACACTAAATATAGTGTGTGTGTGTATATATATATAGAGAGATAGCAATATCTATATGTAGCAAAATATAGAAATATATCTATATATACACACTATATATATAGCTCTCTCTATATATATAGTGTGTATATCTATACACACACACACACAAACACACCTAATTGTATTTAAACTTCACACTGTATACCTCAGTAAATTATGCAGAGATTAAAATTTGAATGTTAATTATGACAGCATCATTTATAAAATTTTTCTTCCAGGAAGGGTCATGACAGATAGGGTCCAAACATAACAGAAGTCTCCAGAACAATATAGCAACTCATGTTGGTTAATGTTATGTGTCAACTTGCATGGGCCATGGTACCCAGACATGTGGTCAAACAATGTATTGAATATTTGTGTGAGGTTATTTTTGAATGAGATTAACTTTAAATTAGTGAAATTTTAATAAAGCAGATTGCCATCTATGATGTGGGTGGGTTTCATCCAATCAACAAGGGACTGAATACAACAAAAGACTGACCTCCCTGCTAGCAAGAGGCAACTCTGCCAGCTGATATTCTTCACGCTTGTACTGCAACATCATCTCTATCCTGCCAGTCCTCTCTACAGATTTTGGAATTGCCAGTCTCCTTAATCATGTAAGCTAATTCCTTAAAATAAACCTCTTTCGATATATACATCCTGTTGGTTCTGTTTCTCTGAAGAATACAAAACTAACATACAACCTTAAAGGCCAAAAAAACTATATGTATAAAACAAAAAGGATAAATATCCTAAATATATAAAATGTTTTGCAAATTAATAGGCAAAAATAACCCCAAATGCTACAGGAAAATGAATAGAAAAATACTGGGGGAAAAAGAAAAATACATCTAAAAAAAGCAACGGATAAAAATAATTAGAAGTGCTCTAGTTTTCAAAGACTTATTGTTTAAAAAAGCAAAACAAAAGATTGGCAAAGACTGAAAAAAGTGGGAACACCCAGTATTGTTTAAAAGGGAAATCAGTATTCACAACCTATTGCTTAAAATATAAATTGCTATGCTATTTTCTAGGAACATACTAGAAATTTAGTTATACATATCAAGGGTCTAATAAAAGACATTGAATCCATCAATTTCAATTCTATAAATTTCTCAAGGTAAATGTTCAAATATGCAAATATATATTGAAGCTAATTTATGGCCATAATTTGTTACTAATGGTTGCTAATGATTGGGATTAGTGTGGGTCATCTATATATCTGATAGCTGTGATTCTTTAAATCATAGGAATATAAATGGAATAATACACAACCATTAAAAATGTAAGAATATGTCACATATAGAATATATTTTCTATTAAAAACAAAATAATGGGTATAATATATTTTGATGCATTGTACATAAATTTATGTATATACATGGGAAAAATCAGAAAGTATATATGACAAAGTTTTAGGAGTGATCATCTCTTGGTGATATAATCTGAGGTAGTTTTAACTTTTTTCATTTCCTACAACTGTATTTCTTTTTTACTATCCATAGATTTTTTTATTTGCATATTTTAAATTTTCAAAAAATAGGTTAACCTGGAACAAGAATTTTTTTAACGCTATTCTGCATGAGAAATGTAATGTTGTCAAGTTGCTTTAATTTTAAGTTAGTAGTTAATAAATAAAAAATAGGGAGTACAGGAGTAAGGTGGAGCTACCCACTTTAGGAGTAAAGCAGTAAAGAGCACTGATGATACTCTCTGTGACAAGATGTTCTTTATAGTTGGCACTTTGTCTTCCCTGTTATGTAAATACATCATTGGAAGCCTAAGTTCCATTTCAGTTTAAAGAGCTTAGCTGAGTTAGCTCAACTTTTTTTAACAGAAAACTTAATCAAATACTGAGATATCAACAGACCAGGGATGTTTTGATATTGTCACAAACTGAAAATAAAGGGCTCACAAATGTCATTCAAGAAATTAGTGAAAGTTAAAAAATACAATAACTGAAACATTTTAAAAATCACGAGAGGGGTACAACAGCAGATTTGAACAAGCAGAATAAAGAATCAGCAAAATGAAGAGAAGTCAGTTGAGATTATCCAGCCTTAAAAACAGAAAAAAACAGAATGAAGAAAAATGAAGCAATAATTAGAGACCCATGAGACATCATCAAGTTCAACAAGTATGCATACACATTCTGCGGAATCCCAGAATAGAAGAGAAAGAAAAAGAGGAAAGAATGTTCAAAGAAATAATGACTAAACTTTTACCAAACTTTAAGAATAACATTAACCTACACATCCAAGAAGCTCAGCAAATTCCAAGTAGTATAACACAATGCTAACTACACTTAGACACATGATAATTAAGCTGTCAAAAGATAAAGACAAAGAGAGAATCTTGAAAACAACACAAGAGTATCTCTTTATGTACAAGTGTTTTTCAGTAAGATTAACAGATGATTTAATATCAGAAAACATGGAGATAGATAGAAATCTGGAGATAGATAGAAATCAGAAGATAGTAAAATGACATTAAGACAGCTAAAAAGAAAAAGACTGTCAACTAAGAATTTTCTATATCAAGTATCACTATTCTTTAAATATAAAGGTGAAATTAAGAGGCTGTGCAATAAACAAATCTGAGATAAATTTGTTTTATAGCAGAGCTACCATAAAGCCTTGTCTAAGGGAGTCCTTAAGGCTTAAATGAAAATACACTAGACAGTGACATGAAAAATTAAAGAGAACCATTAAAGATAATTATGAAGATAAATATAAAGAACAAATTATAAATATATTTTGGATTTTAATAATTGTTTTTCTCCTAAAAACAATTATTTAAAAAAACAACTGCATAAAATACTAATTATAAAACTGAGTTGATATACATACTTTTATATGCACAAATACGTAATTTTGTGCATGACAATAACAGCACAAAGAGGGGAAGAGGGAATGGGGTTATATAGGAGTAAAGTTTTGGCATATCCAATTGCAAAATATTGCATTAAGTTGGTATTAATTCAAAGTAAGTTGTCATAAATTATGATGTTGATTGCAACCTTCAGAGCAACGAATAAAAATAATTTTTAAAATAATATTGTCAAAGAAATGAAAATAAAATTATACACTAGCACATATCCATTTAATACACAATAAAATAGTAATGAAGAAATAGAATAATAAGAATGTGTGACAAATAGAAAACAATAACCAATGGAAGATGTAAATCCTACCTTATCAGTAATTACATTACATTTAACTGTAGTAAATATTACAATTGAAGTAAACAGAATGATAAAAAGAGTAAAAAATAAAAACAAACATGATCTAACTATATATCATCCATGACAGATACACTTTAGATTCAAAGACAAAAATAGGTTGCAATTAAAAAGATGACAAAATATATACCAGGAAATAGTAACAAAAGTAAACTGGAATGGGTATAATAAATATTAGACAAATCAACTCTAAAACAAAACCTGTTACTAGGGATTAAAAAGCACTTTAAAATGTGTTAAATCTATCAAAGCTTTAAGAAGACATAAATATGGCCAGGCGCAGTGGTTCACGCCTGTAATCCCAACAGTTTGGGAGGCTGAGGCGGGCAGATCACCTGAGGTCAGGAGTTCGAGACCAGCCCGACCAATATGATGAAACCCTGTCTCTACTAAAAATACAAAAATTAGCCAGGCATGGTGGCATGCGCCTGTAATCCCAGCTACTCGGGAGGCTGAGACAAGAGAATCCCTTGAACCTGGTAGGCAGAGGTTGCAGTGAGCCGAGATCACGCCATTGCACTCCAGCCTGGGCAACAAGAGTGAAACTCTGTCTCAGAAAAAAGCAAAAAAAAAAAGAAGAAGAAGAAGATATAAATATATAAACATATAAGCCTCTAACAAAAGAGCCCCAAAATATGTGTACCAAAAATAGGCAGAACTGCAGAACCGGAGGCAGCAATAGACCGTTCAATAATAATAGAGACTTCAATTACCCAGTTGTGATAAATATTGAACAAGACAAAGATAATCAAGGAAATAGAAGACTTTAAGAAAACTATAAACCAATTAGACCTAACAAATATCTATAGAATAGTTCACTCAGCAACAGAATACACATGGTTCTCAAGCACACATGTAACATTCTCAAGGAGAGAGTATATATTAGCCAATAAAAATAAGTCTCAATCTATTTAAAGGAATGAAGTCATATAGAGTATGCTCTCCTACCACAATAGAATAAACTTAGAAGTGAATAACAGAAGAAAATTTCGAAAATTTGAGAAAATGTGGAAATTAACACACACCTAAATAAGCAAGGGGTCAAAAAAGAGATCACAATAAAATCAGAAAATTTGTGATAAAAAAAACAAAAACACAAAGTACTAAAACTTTTTGGATCCAACAAAGACAGTCCTTGAGAAAATTATAAGAAAAAATATAGTAATAAAAAATTATAAGAGAAAATTATAGTATAAACACCACATTTAAAAAGAAAGTTCTGAAATCCATAACCTATACCTTCACTTTATGAAACTAGAAAAAGAAGACTAATACCCAAAGCAAATAGAGGTAGAAAGTAATAAATATTAGAGAGAAAATAAATAAAATAAGAAATAGAAAAACTAGAGATAACTGACATAACAAAATATTTTAAATAAATTAGCAGAACTGACAAAACTTTTAGCTAGAATAACCAAGAAAACAAGAGAAAATCAAAATTAGAAATGAAAGAGGAGATATTACTATTGACCTTAGAGAAAAAGAAAGGATTTTGAAGAATTGTCTTTTTTTATGTCATCAATTAGATAGCTTACATGAAATGGATAAATTCCTATACATACACAAACTACTAAAACTGATTTTTAACAGTTGAAATTCTGGATAGACATATAACAAGAGATTGAATTAGTAATTAAAAAAACAACAAAAATTTCCCACAAGTAAAGGTCCAGTACCAAATTCACTGGTGAATTCTACCATACATTTAAAGAAAAATTAGCACAAATCCTTCACAAAGTCTGCCAAAAATTAGACCAGAAGAAAACACTTTTCAACTCATATTATGAGGCCACTGTTACTCTGATGGGAGGCATCAAAGATTTCAAAAGAAAAAAAACAGATCAATATTTCTCATGAATATTGACACAAACATCCTCAACAAACAAACTAAATCAAGAAACACATAATATATATCATAACCATGTGGAATTCATCTCAGAAATCCAGGGTTGAGTCAACATATGAAAGTCAACTACTATAATACATCATATTAATAAAGTATAGGACAAAATCTATGTTATTAATAAAAGTCAAATACACACATCTCGAAAGGCACAGAAAAATCATTTGATGAAATCTAACACATTTTCATGAGAAAAGCACTCAAAAAACTAGAAATAGGACATGATAAAGTTTTCTCTGAAAACACACAACTATTAGTCGGGCATGGTGGTGTGTGCCTGTAGTCCCAACTACTCAGGAGGCTAAGGCAGAAGAATTGCTTGAACCCAGGAGGAAGCGTTTGCAGTGAACCGAGATCACACCACTGCACTCCAGCCTGGGCGATAGAGTGAGACTCTGTCTCAAAACAAACAACCAAACAAACAACAACGAAAAGAAAACACACAACTGACTCCATACTAAATGGTGAAATACTGAAAACTCTGTCCCTGATCTCTCCAAGATCAGGAACAAGGCATAAATGTCCTTCCTCGACACTTCTATTAACATTGTCACTGGAAGATCTAGTCAGGAAATTAGGCAAGAAAAAGACATAAAAGATATCCATATTAGAAAGGAAAAAAGAAAATTATCTGTATTTGCAAATGGCACAAACTTATATACACAAAATCCTGAGGAATCCACCAAAAAATTTTTAGAATTATTGACCAAATTTAGCAAGTTAAAAAATACAAGATGCATATTCAAAATTCAATTGTAAAAAGCAATGTTTTCACGAAATAGAAAAAAACTGAATTGTATTTCTAAACACTAGCAACTAATAATCTTAAAATTAAATTAAGAAGATATTTTCATGTACAATAGCATTAGAAAGAACAAAGTAGAAGTACACTTATCAAGAAAAGTACAGGATGTATACACTGAAAACTGCAAGTACTGCTGAAGGGAAATAAATGAATATGTAAATAAGTGTTTTCATGACTTAGGAGACTTAATATTGTTAAAATAGCAATATGCCCAACACTGATCTACAGATTTAATGCAGTCACTAATAAAATTCCAACTTCATTTTTGGATGAAACTCACTAGCTGATCCTAAAATTCATTTTGAAATGCAATGGACCCAAAATAGCCAAAACAATCTTGAAAAAGAAAAAAAACAAGGAGTCACTCTTCCCAATTTCAAAACTTACTACAAAGCTACAGTACTCCATAGAGCAGTAGTACTGGGATAAGGAGAGAGGTATAGATCAATGGAATAAAATTGAGTCCCCAAAGGTGTGTGTGTGTGTGTGTGTATGTGTGTGTGTAGATAGATAAATCTTCACACACTCATTCTCTCACATACCACTTACATGTATGTGCTAGTAATGTATATCATTGTCAATTTTAAAAAATATGTTATTTTATTATTTTTGAAACAATTATTTAGGCTATGACTGAGGACCAATGGCCATCTGGTAGAAGAATATTTAAATTTCAAGGTTACTCATTTTGTGTAAAAGGAAAGCAGCCCTGTGAAAGGCTATAAGTGCTTCTATGCAGTTGGTAAAAAAATCAACCTAGATCCTGATCCAAATAGAACTCTTGATGAAATTACATTTTTTCCTGCCTTGATATCAATGGACACTTTCAAGTATTTTTGTTAGCTTTTATATAGATACTTCCCAGATGATAATAGAAAATAAAATTAGTAGTATCCTAGTAAATATATAAAGAAACAATTACATTACTTTTTAAGAGCGGTGAAACGGAAAAATATTATTGGACAGAGAAAGCAATGAATAATGTCTTTCTAACAGCTGGACTATATGTATGAAATAATATAGAGCTTCTTCTTTACCAACCAATGCGCTTAATTGAATTCCACATCATGTGGGATGCACCCTTTTTTCTATCCACTGATTTGGATTATATTATATCATTGTCCTACTATAAAGATGGAGGCACCTTCCTTGAGCTCTAACAACTGAACAGTGAATAAAAAGATGGACAAATTATCAAGCCCCAGAAGCCCAGCTTCTGTAATAAAACCCTTTGTTACTTTTCTAAAGTGATCCTTGAGAAATGCAGATGGGAAACAATACTTTCATTGATGAGAAATGAAAATTACTCTCTCTTCTCTATGATGAAAATTTATGAGAACAAATAGCAAAAAGATAGCATAATGTCAAAGTGTTATAGTGAGAGCAGGTAAGAATATAACAGAAAAGTTTATTTCCACACTGTCCCCCTACCCCAACCTTTGGTTTCTGGTAGGAATGAGTGAAAGTTCTCCTTTTTATTAGACTCCACTGTCAAGTCAGAGCATCATATATTGTTGCAGATTTAAATTGCTATTTTTCTTAATTACCTGGTTCAGATAAGCAAATGCCAGCTAGGCAAATTTTTTCGTTTAAAAGCCTTCAGGAGGTCTCTGCTTATATTAGTCTTCTATTGCTACATAACAAATTACCACAAAATCAGTGGCTTTAAACAAAATACATTTATTTTCTCACAGTTTGTGGAAGTCAGAAGTCTAGATGTGGCTTAACTCAGCCTTCTGCTTTTGGTCTCACAAGGCTACAATCAATAACTCAGGTGAGCTGTATTCTCATCTGAAGACTTGACTGGGGAAGCATCAGCTTCTAAGTTTTTTTCAGTTTGTTGGCAGATTAATTGTGGTTGTATGACTGATGGGCTCAAGCTTTTTGTTGGCTCTTCAGCTGGAGACTATCCTCAACTCCTAGAGGCCACAAATAGTTGGTAGAGGCCCCCTGCAATTCCTGGACACATGAGGTTTTCCAACATCACTACTGAATTCATGAACCCTACAAAGAGTTTCAGTCTGCTTAGGTGGAATCTTATGCAACATGAGTTAAATGGGAGTAACAGCTCATCATCTTTGCTATGTAACATAAACCAACCAGGGGAGTGATACTCATCACCTTTGTCATATGCTATTGTTTTAGTTTAGAAGAAAACTACAGTTCCTGCCTACGCTCAAGGGATGGGGATCACATAAGGGTATGTACACTAAAAGCTTGGGGTAATGGGAAGTAGTCCTAGTGGCTGTCCACCACACTGCTCTTTGGCTATTTTTGCACTCAGCAACTCATAGACAACACTTTAAAGTTTAAAAACATATCCTTGAAATAAGACAGACATTTTCTGGGACTCGTTTTGTGCTGCAATAACTAAAGGGCATTGCTTCCTTCAAGAACATCACTGCAATAACAACCAGACAATTGGGGCTGAAAGGCTGGAGCTCTACAAGCAAGTTCATCATCAACACCCCATTGGTTATATCCATAAACCTCACATCAAAAGCCCCTGCAATAAGAATACAAATGCAACCCTAGACAGAGGCCAATTTAAAGAGACAAACCACAAGCTGCATTATAATCTCCCACGAAAGGGGGTAGTATGCATCCTTACACCTTTGTATTCTGAGACATACTTTATTTTGCTTCTAAAACTTGTAGGCTCAGCCTTTGGTTCCTTGAGGACCCAATTAATTGAAGGTCAAAGCATAGAATTTCCTCTTTATTTCTTTTTTTTCAACTGCAATTGTCTGAAGTTAAAAACTCATGTATCTATGATATTCTAGAGATGAGTGGACCTGTGTTTGTCACCTGTGCATATCTGTAAGGAGACAACAGTGCCCTTCAGGTGCTTGGTTCACTTTAAAAAAAAAAATAGATACTTTGTTTTCTTTTATTTTGAGAGAATAAATTATGCCTCAAACTCAGGTCTCAAATTGATGACAGAATGATTAAAATGTAAGCGTTTGTTCCTGCTTTTGACCTAGCATTGAATCACTTCCAAGGACAACTCTCAATTCTGGAAAAAGTGATCAATTACTAGGA
This sequence comes from Homo sapiens, assembly GCF_000001405.40. NCBI lineage: Eukaryota > Metazoa > Chordata > Mammalia > Primates > Hominidae > Homo > Homo sapiens. The sequence continues at coordinate 106,436,266 of NC_000010.11, forward strand.
AAGAAAGCACATGGGTCTCTGCTGAAATAAGGGCAGTTGTGGATTAAGAGAACAAGTGAGCTTGGGTTGCCAGGAAACAGGCAACATGATTCATAAGTATTTATTTTTTTCCTTTTAGTTCTTAAAACTACCTTTCATGGTGACCTATTTTAGACATGCTCAAAGACTTAATTCCCACTATTAGGTAAGCCCAGGGAGTTAGTTATTTTGGTAACATAAAGCAGTTTTAAAGACTTTGTAAGCCACTTTGCTCATTGAGAAGATAAATAGGATGGTGGAATGAATCATGCTGTAAACACCTCACCACCCATTATCCACCCCCCACCCGCCCGGAGGCCTTCCCAGGTGAACTCATTCCAACAGGCATTTGCATAAAAGACAAACTCATAAAAACTAAGTGGGAAAAAATTCACTCCAGCAAAAAGAAAGTATGTCCTGGCTTGGGTGGGAGGTGGAGTGGGGTAAGAGAAGGCAAAGGAAATGACTTGAATTACAGGCCAGAGAGAGACATTTCCAATAATTTCCATGGATTGAATTTAAAATGATGTCTATACAGTAGTTCTCAATCTTGGCTGTACACTAGAATCACTCTGGGAGCATTTAGGAATGCAGATACCAGGGCCTAGTCTAGACTAATTATATGAACATCTCTAGAGATGAGGCCTGGCATGCACTGAATTTGAAAGCATCCCAGGTGTTTGTAATGTGCAGCTATGGTTGGAAACCCTTGCCTAAAGCCAGAAAATAACAACTTTTTATGAATGCAAATGACCACCTCAGTGCTCTTTTGACTACATTTGCAAATTGTGGGACACATCCACAAACCAGCATCAAGTCCTCTGCGACAGTGCTCTGAATTATTTAAGTCCTCAAAGTGATTATGACACAGCCCCTTTAGCTGATCCATGGTCCATAGGCTTTTAAGAACCACTGCTCTAGGCTGGCGATTTTGCCTCTTCCTTCTTGTCATCCACTAACGACTGAGGGGTTTAGGATGCACCACTGTGTGTTGGGAAAGTTACCCATTGTTTACTAGATTCACTAACATTTACATTGCTTCTACTTTGGGCTTTTATATACAGAAATATATAATCTTCAGTCCTTGTCCACATTTTGCCAAAAGTCACAAAAGCTGCACATTTATTAATAGGAGCTATTCCTACAGGGATTCAAAAAAAGGAAGAAATCATGGGAAGTTTGTGAGGGCAGAGAAAGCTTCATGGAGTTTGCACACATTAAGGGTAGCTAGGATGAGAATTACCAGTGAAGGAAGCGAGTATGGAGTGAGATAGTTCTAGAAGTGACATAAACAGAGAAATAAAATGCTAGGACATGTTTAAGAAATAGTAAACATGGTTTATGGTGAGGAATAGTATGAGATGATACTGAAAATGGAGACCAAGAGAGGATTGAATGCCAGCATTTAGGATTTTGTCCTACAGGCAATAGATCATGGTGTTACATAACAAATTAATGAAGACATTTTGATGTTCATTAAGGCGGAAAAAAACAACTCTAACCACAAATAGGCACATTTTTTGATCACTTACTGACAGCGATATTAGCCAATGGTTAAATGAATATTACACGTAATAGACTCTGTGTAAGTAAACTTGACAATTTACTCAGAGTCCAGGGTTTGTTCATTTATAGCATTTTTCATCTGCTTCCCCTGTCATATTTTGGCAAAGCAAATACACACATACGCATACACATATACATAATATCATCCACATGCAAAAACATATATAATTACTCATTTGAAGTAGAAAAACAATTTTCTTTATGTTACTTATTCTCTAAAGGGATCATGCAAAGAGGGTGCAATAAAGATGTTCAAAACTCAACAGAGACATTGGAGATTTTGTGGAAAGATGAGTGGATTTTTAGATTGCTTTTGCTACTAATTAACAGTGTGACTGTGGGAAAATCACTTCCAACACAGGGAGTAAATATCTCCAGTGACAGAGAGACAACTATAGCAAGCCAGTGAGTGAGACAGAGAATTAAGTCCTTAATATTTGCAGGACTATACAGCATACAGTGTGTGTTTTTAATAAATTAGTAAATGTAGTTGAGTACTTTTCAATTAATAAACTTACTTTCTCTCAACAGTAAAGTAGTAAAATATCTACTTTAAAGCAAATTATTTGAGTACAAAACTTGGGATCATCTGGCTGACATCATGATTATTCGTAGTTTGCCAAAAATTAAACCTTTACTCTCACTGTGGCCATATTTTCTCTAATACTCTTGCAAAACACAGAGAGGTGCAGAAAAAAAGGGGAAAGAAGAAATAAATATGAACTAGTCAGAACAGGTCATAACACATTTTCCTAAAGCAAGTCACACACTACCAAATTAAGACCAAACCATTTTCACAACACTAGAGGTTTCTATAGATTTACTTAGAATTTAAGCAGCATTTACTGTCATCTTTTAAAAATTGTATGAAGGAATAATTGAAGTGATTGCCTAGCACAGAGAAAATTTTCAGAGAAAGAGATTTTTATTCCACACACAGACAGATATGTACATAAACATATCTAAGTATTGGTGAATAAGAAAGAGAACATTAATAGAAACCAAAAATAATTGATGTCTGTTTTTAAAGAAAGGCTTTAAGGCTCATTTATAAACAAAAACTCTTTTTGCATCCCTTTCCATGAACTTATTCAGTGGATTATAAATTGGTTGGGAGACCAGTACTATGGATGATTATGGGACAAAAATATTTTCAATGCAGTGGTTTATAAGTAGTGAAATCAAACATTTTCCAGAGACTGAACTTCCCTTTGCCCTCATAAATTATTCTAAATGTGAGAAATACACTTGTTTCTAGACATCTAAAACCATTTAGGACATAAGCTTCCTCAACACTGGATAAACTTAAGAGTAAAATTCAGAATGTATTTGCACTACATTCCTTGCAACTCACAACAGTGGCTTTTAACTTATACCTAGTAATTCTTTCATTTTCTTCCATATATTGTCTCTCAAACTTAAAAAATAAAAAACTTGTTTTGGTTTTTTAAAACATTTAAAATATATACAGAAGTAGAGAGAATATATAGTAAGCTACCAATACCCATTACCTACTTTCAACAATTATTAACACATGGCCAATCTGCTATTGGCACCCTGGGTTCTTGCAATCTCCCAGAACAGAAATCAGGAAAGGTCTCCAGACATAGCAGCAAAGAAAAAGAGAAAGATTCATTTAGCTTGTGCACAAGAGACGTCAGCAACAGGAAAGGAAAAATGTGAACTCCTCTCAGAGGCCAGTGTGGGTTACTTTCATAAAACTTTCCTATAGGAAGGGATCATGTCAGGGCATGTATAGAAGGGGTTTCTCTAGAATTTATATAGTGGCTTTACATGCTTCAACATACACCGCATGTAACATTAGCATTTTAAATTTCTATACTTGGGCGTGGTTTTTATTATTAAAATAAGGAAAAGTTCACTATGAGTTGAAACTTAAGCCTAGCTGCACATACAGGGCCTCATGGAAGTCACTAGCCCCCTAAAGCAGATACATGTGGTTAATAGTTTCTTGGGGCCAGGCACAGTGGCTCATGCCTGTAATCCTAGCACTTTGGGAGGCCCAGGCCAGCGGATCACTTGAGGTCAGGAGTTCGAAACCAGCCTGGCCAACATGGTGAAACCCTGTCTCTAATAAAAATACAAAAAAAAAAAAAAAAAAAAACTGGGCGTGATGGCAGGCACCTATAATCCCAGCTACTCAGGAGGCTGAGGCAGATGAATCGCTTGAACCCGGGAGCCGGAGGTGGCAGTGAGCAGAGATCGTGCCATTGCACTCCAGCCTGGGTGACAGAGTGGGACTCCGTCTCCAAAATAAATAAATAAATAAATAAAAATTTTAAAATATAGCTTCTTGGGCCTTTGATGCTGATTATCTGGAGATTAAATAAGCTACAGCTTGAGTAAGGGGCTTTTGTTCTTTTTCTCCAGACCATATTCAAACAGGAAATCAGCAAACTTGCCTGTCTCATTCCCCGCTTGAGAGATTTTATGCTCCTTACTGTTAAGGAGTGAAGGTCTTTTCTTCTGGAGCTACTTTCTGCTGAGCAAGGACATAGTCCCTATATCTGTTCCTAGGTTGAGTAGAAATTTCTTGTGGCTTAGTGGAATGGGCTATATCGCTCTTGGATGTGGTTTCTGGAACAGGCTGGAAGCCTTGCATGACCATTCACTTGGCATAAAACTGTTTTAGTCTAGAAGACATAAATTTTACCAGAAAGTTAAACAAGCATGGTTCAAAGATTAAAAGAAGAAAGACAGCTAATACAGGTCCTAAGAAAGGAAGGAACCAAGTTATAAAGGGTAAGGCTGATTTGACAGCATTCCACACTGAGTCAGTTCTTGCGTCCTCTTTACCAAAAGAGTATAACTACATTGCCTGAATGTTAACCTCTACTTGCTCTGTAGTATTTATTTAGTGGATCAGGCCATAAATAAAAGATAATATAGTGATAGCATGACTAGTACTTAAGGCAAAATGTAGGTGGAATCAGTATGTAACAGTTTATCAAAAAAAGCATCCTTTCAATACAGCATGTTATAAAATTTAGTCAACCCAGGTATTTGGGAGTGGAGTGTGTACGGGTTGGGGATTATAGGATGAATGGGAACAAATGAGTCATTTACTGCCTAAAGGTCTTCAACAAATCGGTATTCCCCAGGTAGGATTGGAGTATTACAGGGGGATTGGCAGGGCTGAATTAGCTCATGCTATAGAAATGTTTCCAGGAAGGGCCATATCCTCTGTTGGGCTTCTGGCCTGCAAGGATATTGGAGTTTGCATGGGTAGTATATGGCTGGCTTGAGTTTTATTTTAACAGGCTTTGTACTGATGGCCTTTCCGGAGTACTAGCGTCCCATACAGACTTTGTCACTTTATTTAGTATTTTCTCTGGGACAGGGGATGGTTGCTGACTTTGGGGAGCCAAAAGGTCCAGTAAAAAATGGATTTCTTTCTCAGGGGATACTGAGACTTGTATGTCTTTCTGTTGGAGGGAGACTGAAGCTTCCAAATTGGATAAAAATGTCATGACCCATTGAAGGAAGGTAACACTCAGAGACATACAGGAAGGAAGGAATGATAGCCCTAGATCCAGTTTCACAAGTCAAAGGAAAGACAAACATCTTACATTTGTATGGTACACTTGTTATCATTAATGAACCAATATTGATATTTTATTATTAGCTAGAGTTTGTATTTATTTAAATATCCTTAGTGTGGATATTTAGGGGAAAATCACAGAGATGAGTGATGAAAGGTGTCATTTTTATCATGTCATATCAAAGGTACATATCTATACAGCTTATCACTATTAATGTTAACCTTGATCTCCTTGCTGATGTTGTGTTTGTCAGCTTTCTCCATTATAATGTTATTTTTTTCCTCTTATTCCATACTTCGCCTTTTGGAAGGAAATCGCCATGTACAGCCCAGACTTAAGGAGTGGATAATCACACTTTCCCTTCTTAAAAATTGGATAATCATGCTTTATCTTCTTGAATGCAGAGGATCCACAAAGCTTATTTGGAATTCTTTGCATGGAAAATGTGTCATTACTCTCCCATTTATGTATTCATTCCATTATTTACTTTTAACAGCGTGGACTTATATTTATTTTATACTTTGGGTTATAATCCAGTATACTCTATCTGTTTTGTATTTGCAATCCAATACGACTTCATTTTGCTTTTCTAAGTGTTTCAGCTGTAGCCCTTGGGAGCTCTTTCAGTAGGCTTCTGTGCCCCTTTGATACATACCTTCATCGCTGCGTTTTATTTTGTTTTTGAGTATTTCCTTACTTTCTAGCACAACAAGATACTCCATCCTCATCTTGCGTATTTTCTGCCACAGAAAATACACGATTTCTCCAAGTATTTCTTGTTCCTTTATTGGAGAATGGTATTAAAAACTAAGCTACTGGGTGTCATTTCTTTTATGCCTTCTTAGCTGACAGAGCAAAGAAACATATATGCATATATTAAACACTCTGAATTCACGTATCTATAAACATATTTATATGTAACCATCCATATCTATATTAAGCCAAACATAAATTTATACTGATGTCTCTAACTCAAATTTATTACCACATGAGTCATTCTAGGCACCTCCCCTTTCTCATCTGTAAACTCCCACTGCAACAGTGACAAACCTGGCTCACACCATCTGCCATCCATTTAATTGTTCAATTCCAGGATACATATATAATAAAATTAGATATGTTAACTCATATCTCTATGGAAAACAACTTTATCAACCGGCATATAGTATTTATGCACAGTTTATTTTGCTTTGTTTTGATAGACCCTACTCAGTTCCAAAGTTACTTAATCAGCACCTTTTCCACAAATCCTTCAGTGAGCTGTTTCATATACTTATAATGCAGTTATACTTTTTGCCAAATTCTGCATTTTATCATGGGCTTCCACCAGCTTCCTAAGTTATTTTTTTAAATTTGCATACATTAAGCTTTATTCTTTGTGCTGTGAAGTTCAATGGGTTTTGACAAATGCATACTACAATATATCAACAATTATAGTACACAGAATAGTTTAATAAACCTAAAAAAAAATCCTGTATCACCAATTCAACCCTCCTTCCTTCCCAAATTTTCTACAAGTCCTGATCTTTTTAATGTCTCTATAGTTTTTTCTTTTCCAGATGTTATATAAGTGGAATCACATAGCATGTAACCTTTTCAGGCGGCCTTCTTTCACTTAGAAATGTGAATCTAATATTTGCCCATGGAAAATATTTGCAAACTACCCATCTGATGAGAGATTAATCACCAGAATATATAAGGAGCTCAAACAACCATATAGGAAAAAAATCTAATAAATTAATAAAAAATGGGCAAAAGCTCTGAATAGATATTTCTCAAAACAAGACATACAAATAGAGAGCAGGCATATGAAAACGTGCTCAACATCACTCATCATCAAAGAAATGCAAATCAAAACTACAATGAGATTGCATCTCACCCCAGTTAAAATGGCTTATATCTGAAAAAACAAAAACAAACAAACAAACAAAAAACAGGCAATAACCAATGCTGGCAAGGATGTAGAGAAAAAGGAACCCTCATATACTGTTGGTGGGGATGTAAGTTAGTCCAACCACTGTGGAGAACAGTTTAGAAGTTCCTCAAAAATTTAAAAATTGAACAGCCATATGATCCCGCAATTCCACTGCTTGGCTTATACCCCAAAGAAAAGAAATTTGTATATTGAAGAGACATGTGCAGCCTATGTTTGTTGCATCACTGTTCACAATAGCCAAGAATTGGAAGCAACCTCAGGGTCCATCCACAGGTGCATGGATAAAGAAAATGTGGTACATATACACAATTAAGTGCTATTCAGTCATAAAAAAGAATGAGATCCAGTCATTTGCAAGAATATGGATGGAACTGGAGATCATTATGTTAAGTTAAATAAGCCAGGCACAGAAAGGCAAGCATCGCATGTTCTCACTTATCTGTGGGATCTAAAAATCAAAATAATTAAACTCATGGACATAGAGAGTAGAAAGATGGTTACTAGAGTCTGGGAAGGGTAGTAGAGTGATGGAGGGGAGGTGGGGATGGTTAATGGATACAAAAAAACAGGAAGAATAAGATCATCTATATGGTTGCACAACAGGGTGACTATAATCAATAATCAAATGTGCAACTTTGTACATTTGCAGAACTTGGCAAAAAGTATAACTGCATTATAAATATATGAAACAATTCACTGATACAATAATAAATGTACAACTTAATTGTACATTTTAAAATAAATATAATTGAATTATTTGTAACACAAAGGATAAATGCTTGAGGGAATGGCTACTCCCATTGTTGATGATGCCATTATTATGCATTGCATGCCTGTATCAAAACATTTCATGTATCCCATAAATATATACACCTACTATGTACCCACAAATTTCAAAAATAAAATATTTTTAAAAAATAAAATTTAATTTTGAAAATTCAGGAAAAATAAACCTAAAAATAAAGCATCACATATTAGAAACAGAAGAGATTTGTTCATGTCATTTCATGGCTTAAGAGCTCATTTGTCTTTATCACTGAACAATATTGTATGGATGTACCACAGTTTTGTTATGCATTCACTTATTTAAGTACATCTTTCAGTTTGGGATGATTTATGAGTAACACTGTTATAAGCATTGTTTGCAGGTTTATATGTGCACATAAGTTTTCAAATAAGTTGGGTAAATACCAAGGAGCACAATCACTGCATCATATATGAAGACTTTTTTTTAGCTTTGTAAGAAAGTGATGAACTGTCTTTCAAAGTGCATGTGTAATAACAGTTTGAAATTCACCAGTTACATTCAGTGGAATAAGCCAGGCACAGAAAGACAAATACTGAAAGATCTCATTTATATGTGGAATTTAAAAAAGTTGAACTCATAGAAATAGTGAGTAGAATGGTAATTACTAGGAACTAGGGGGTAGGGTGGGGTGGGGAGATCCTGTTAAAAGGATAAAAAAATTCAAGTAGGAAGAATGAGAGGTCTATTCACAATCAATAACAATGTACTATATTCTTGAAAATTGCTGAGAGTAAGTTTTAAGTGTTCTCACTTGATATGATTTGGATATTTGTCCCATCCAAATCTCACTTCAGTGTGATTCCCAGTGTTAGAGGTGGGGCCTGGTAAAGGGTGATTGAATCATGCGGGTGGATCTCTCACAAATGGCTTAGCACCATCTTCTTGATGATAAGTGAGTTCAGGCTCAGTTAATTCACTTAAGACCTGGTTGTAAAAAAAGTTTGGGATCTCCCCTTCTCTCTCTTGCTCCTGCTCTCACCATGTGACAAATCAGCTCCCCCTTCACCTTCCACCATGAGTAAAACTTTCCTGCGGTCCTGACTAGACGCGCATGCCGGCGCCAAAGTTCCCATACAGCCTGCAGAACTGCGAGCCAATTAAACCTTTTTTCTTCATAAGTTACCTAGTCTTAGGTATTACTTCATAGTAACACAAGCAGACTAATACATTATCACAAGAGATAAGTGTATGTGAGATGACATATAGGTTAATTAGCTTGATTTAGTCATTCCATAATGTACACATATTTCAAAACATTATGTTTTACATGGTAAGTATATTTAATTTTTAAGTCAATTTAAGAAAAGAAAAGGAAGAAAGGAGGGAAAGAAGGAAGGAATAAAGGCAGGAAGGCAGGAAGGAAGGGAGGGAAGGGGAGGGGAGGGGAAGGGATGGGACGGGAGGGGAGTGTAGGGGAAGGGAAGGGAGGGGAGGGGAGGGGAGGGGGAGTTCCTGTTGCTTCACATTCTCACCAGCAATTGGAGTTTTACCTCTTGTCTTTTCTTCTTTTTTTTGAGATGGAGTCTCACTCTGTCACCAGGCTGGAGTGCAGTGGCACGATCTTGGCTCACTGCAACCTCCACCTCCCGGGTTCAAATAATTCTCCTTCTTCAGCCTCCCGAGTAGCTGGAACTACAGGCACGCATCACCACACCCAACTAATTTTTGTATTTTTAGTAGAGATGGGGTTTCACCATGTTGCCCAGGATGGTCTTGATCTCTTGACCTTGTGATCCATCCACCTAGGCCTTCCAAAGTGCTGGGATTACGGTCTTGAGCCACCACCCCCAGCCTCCCTCTTGTCTTTTACTCTGTATGTCCCTTTTGTTCCTTTTCTGTTTTCTTTTCTTATAGTTACTATTTTAAGGAAACTGAATCTTTATTTTCTAGACGTTTCTATTTTCTTTATTTTTCTGATTTTCCTTCCCGTTTCTCTGTCCCCCATATTGTTTGTATCTGAAAGTTAAATCTAGAAGCATGATTAGATCTAGGTTTAATATTCCAAGATTCGATTTTTTGGACAAGAACACTTTATAGGTGATTTAGTATGTTACCCATTGCATCCCATCCAGGACCACCAAATTTCTAGTTCCCTCTTTTTGTGATCTTAAGTCTGATAGGTAGGCTTAGGTGTGGTCAGTCTGATGCATCACTTATAATGGTGCCTGTCAGCTTGTCTTCTAATGGAAGATCTATTCATATGGTTGTCTCTTTTAACTGGTGCCCCAGTGGAAATTACTCTGTCTTCTGCACCTTCTTACTTGTTCTTAGGATTTGTCCAGTTTATCTTGCTATTACAAAACAAGAGCTTTGTTAACAAGTATTAATATTTATTTATTTATTTGTTTATTTTGAGAAGAAGTCTCACCCTGTTGCCCAGGTTGGAGTGCAGTGGCATGATCTCAGCTCACTGCAACTTCTGCCTCCCAGGTTTAAGTGATTCACCTGTCTCAGCCTCCCAAGTAGCTGGGATTACAGGTATGTACCATCACACCCAGCTAATTTTTGTGTTTTTATAGAGAAGGCATTTCACCATGTTGGCTAGGCTGGTCTTGAACTCCTGACCTCAGGTGATCCAACTGTCTTGGCCTCCCAAACTGCTGGGATTACAGGCATGAGCCACCATGCCTGGCCCCGAGTATTAATTTTTAAATACTAAATAATTGTTTTCAAACTACAGGCTCCTCATTAGATTCTGACGACAACCTAGATATGCTCCACTATCACATGATAATTCAATTTCTTCCACTAATTTTACCCAATCTATACTCTAAATAATTTTGCCATTTTATGCTCCTACTTTGTCTCCTCTTGACCACATTTATGCCTGACAGAACTGTGTATACACTCTGTCTTGCATCATAAATCAATACCTGAAGCTCTTTAATCATTCTCTTTTCTAAACAATATCTGATTTATTCATTTGGCATCTTTTGAGCAATATGTTATCCCAAACCCAAAGCCATATTGTGAAGCAATCATTAGAGCTGACATCTATCTCAAATGGTTGTTCTAAGACTAAAGGAAATAACATACATAAAGCCCTATCACATTTTTGTCACATAATAAATACTTAAACATTACTCATTCTTAACTCCAACTTCATGTTCTATCCCAGGGAATTTCTAGTGGTGTGTATAAACATTTTATTTGTTCAGGGGGTTGATTAATGCTGATTGCATTTTCATTGTAGAAATTTGGAAAACTCATCATAAAAAAGAATATAATGGTCACTTATAATCCTAACATGCAATAATAATGATTGTTATAATTTTAACATATCTCTTTCACTTTTTATGAATATTTTTACATAGTTGAGCAAATGCTATAATATACAGTTTCACATTTTTTCATTTAATGCATCCCTTAATTTTATGTCTTTTGAAATACTTGGTGGATATTATGCTTAATGCTACACTATCTTACATGCAATGCTGTGGATGAACTTTTTCTCAATTGAAATTCTTTACCTTTCTGATTCTATTTCATCTTCCCCCTGATACAACCGTCTAAGTCCCACCAAAGTAAGTCATATCCTTCCAAACTTAAAAACCTCTTTCCATCCCAGCACTTTGGGAGGCCAAGGCAGGTGGATCACGAGGTCAGGAGATCGAGACAATCCTGGCCAACATGGTGAAATCCCATCACTACCAAAATGCAAAAAATTAGCCAGGTGTGGTGGCACGCACCTGTAGTCCCAGCTACTCGGGAGGCTGAGGCAGGGGAATCACTTGAACCAGGGAGGTGGAGGTTGCAGTGAGCTGAGATGGCACCACTGCACTCCAGCCTGGCGACAGAGCAAGACTCCATCTCAAAAAAAAAAAAAAAAAAAAAAAAACCACCCCTTTCCTCTTTTTTGGACCAAATCTTCTCAAGGCAATCTCACTTCAGGATCAAATATAGTTAAGTCTTCAATTAATGTTGTGCATAGGTTCTTGCGAGACTTGAAGCAAAATAACATGATGAAACCAATTTTACCACAGGCTAATGGATATAAACAAGAATTAAGTTCCTGTAGCATATTTCTGGTCACAAAAACATCACCAAACTTCTAAATCAAGAAAGACACAAGACACTTTTAATATCAAACATTAGAATAAATGCAAGTGAAAGAATGCACCAAATTTTTGTTCAATCTGTGAGTGATGGCAATGGTAGTGGTGGTGGGTTAAATCAAGGAATAAATGTTTGCAAAGCAAAAATTGGAAGGAGCCTCTTCTACCATGTAGTTCAAAAACAAACAAGAATAAATACGGCAGGCTCACTGAATGCCTTCATACCATATTGTTTATTGTTGTGCATCGGTATAAGTGTCATATACTTCAAGAATTTTTATTTTAAAATAGTTTATATTAATTAATTAAATCATTCATCTGCCACTCTGCTTATTCTAGTTAAGGTTAGCAGGAACCTGTCCCAAAAGCTCAGGGCCATGGCGGGAACCAGCCTCGGACAGGACATTATCCCACTCTAGGACGTACTCACACACACCCACTTTCACTCAGACTGGCACCATTTAGACATGCCAGGTCACCTAAGGGGCACAGCTGTGGGATGTGGGAGAAAACTGGACTTCCCAGAAAAAAACCCACTCAGAAATGGGGGGAAAGTGCAAACTCCAGCAGACTGTGGTCCTGGCCAGGAATCGTGTTTTTTCCCCCTTATTAATGTTATAATGAAATGACCTTGAACAAAACATTACTCAAGGATCTGCTGTATACCCTAAAACTAAAAAACGTCTTTATAAAAAAATTCTCTTTAAAAAAAATAGGGGATACAAAACAGCAGAGAGCCTTCTAAAGTAAAATATAGCATCCACAACTAAATTAAAGCCCAGGTTGAAATTATTTTTCTTCATTTTAGCTGCTAGATTGTTCACCTTCAAATTCTATCGCCTTCCTACTTCTTATTTTTTTTAAGTAAGAGAAAATGGCCGCAGTGTGCTAGTCTCACTGGCATGCATTAATGTGTTATGTTTTTCATTCTTCTAAACTGATAAAAGTTTCTAGCAACAAAATTGTCTCTTTGAGATCTCAAATGGGTTATTAAAATTCAGCTTTACTTTAAATCTAAATGGATCAGAATAGCTTACTCGTCTTCAAACTAGAGATTTTGCAGTTGATTTTTTATTGTTTGAGACCTTAAGTAGTTTTCAAACCACAAGGTACTATTCATTTTCCAGAAAATTTGAATTGATGTAAATTTCACTAGAGACTATAACATATAATAAAATAAAAATATATTACAATCACTTCCTTTCCATAGTCTATTAATTTGGTAATCCTATCAAAAAGCTGTTAAACTCCATTTGTCACAATTTTTTTCTTTATAAACCAATTCTATTCACTGTTCATGATTTTGTTACCTTTGAGAGGCTTTTACAGGTTCTTTTTTTAATAGTTGTTCCGTTACTAAAGGATTTAAGTTACATTCACTGAACCATAATTACCATGATAGCGGTTCTTTCTATTCTGGAAAATTGATACAATGTTGGCATTCCATCCTATCATTTCCCAGTTCTCAGTAAATTTTCATAAATAACCATCAGCAGTAGTTCAGTAAGTTTTTCAACAAAATCCATTAACACCTTAGATGGTAAATCATTCAGACCTTGCATGCTTATTTTGCCCAAGTGTACCCTTACCTGTTTTTAATCAACAGCTATTTTTGAAAGCATTATGTTACACTGAAATCCTAGAGTGAAAATAATGATTTTGTGTAAAACAATTTCTTTCTGTGAAATATAATTCCTATATTCACACCGTGTGATAAAGTAGCAATATTCTAAGGAGACAGACATATGCATCAGTAACACACAGCATGAAATCTGTCTTCAGAGACTATCTCCTCCCCTACTATGAGTGCTCCAACTTTACCTCTTCCTTTGGTTGCATAGGAGAGACATCCTGTTCAGGTCCTGGGACATCTTCTATGGCTTCTGAATGTGAAAATGAATCACATTTACCTAAGTAAATAATAGACTTTGTAGTTGGTTGAATAGTGCATACTTCACACCCCCACCCCCACCACAAAAAAAGATGTCCATGTCCTAACCTCCAAAACCTGTGAATGTGATCTTGTTTGAGAAAAGTATCCTTGCAGATATTAGTAAGTTAAGGATCTCAAGATGAGATCACCCTGATGTAGAGGTCCTTGTAAGAGAAAGCAAGAGGGAAACTTGTGCATAAAGACACACAGAGGGGAAAATCATGCGAAGATGGGAGTAGATTAGAGTTATGCTGCTACCAACAAAGAAATGCGAAGGATTGCAGGCCGCCAGAAGCTAGGAAAAGAGACATAGAGGAGGCATTCCCTGAGAAACTCCAGGAGGAACTAATCGTGCTTACACATTGATCCTGAAGTCTGTCCTCCAACACTATGAGAGAACACATTTCTGTGGTTCTAAGATACTCAACTTGTGGTGATCTCTTACAGCAGCCATAGGAAATTGGCTCTTGGAGTGGATATGCAAAACTGTAGATAATAATATTTAAATATAAAAATTATCTACTCTTTCATTCTTTTATAATCAAGTAAAGGAAAAGTGTGAAATTATCTTTTAATTAGAATCTGCAGAAAGCTATTATTGTTTGTAATGATAGCTTTTAATTTCTTTCAAAGGCAGAGTCCTATCTACAGTGCAATAATTTTACCTAGAGGGTGAGTTGGAAAGATGGATTTTTCCCTAGAACTGGCTAACAATACTAGTGCTCAGAGTCAATTACTTTAACCATTGAAAAGTAAGATTAGTGAGGGATTTATAAGTTTAGCTATTTGTTCCTCTCACTAGACATTGGCACAATTCTGATTCCTAGCCAACAGACTTCAATAGAGGTTGACTACAAATGAAGAAAATACTTGTAAAACTTTAAAAGTGATGTGATGAGGTAAAAATGAAGGCCTTAGTTGAATGTAATTGCTCTATGAAGAAACTAAAATATTCATAGGTCATGAGTGGCACATGTTTTACTGCAAAGTCATAAAGCAACTCATCCAAAACTATTCTTCTAGGTCTTTAAAACATGGTGAATACAATCCCTTCTAAGACCTGCCCTTGATTTATCACAGTTCATTCAGAGCACCATGACAGATAAAGTCATCTAACTGCTTCAAAGTCAAGGCACTTTCTCTGAGCAAACACTTCCTATTCTTTCTTATGGGTGAGGAATCCAATAAACCACGTTCAAACTAATATAGAATATTAAGCAAACCAAAAATGATAATATTGAGAGATGGTGAGGGCACTAGGAAACAGGATACCAGGATATGCAAAGGAAATAGAAGGAGATCTGTACAGATACCCAATAAAAATTACCATAAATTTTAAAATGATTAACGGTAGTGATGTCTATCATGATAACATATCAACATACTAAAAATACAGATATAGAAAAACAGAGTACAATACTTTACTTGGAATTAAGTTTGTGTAGTTAACAGAAAACCTAAAATAATAGTGTTTTAAACAAAACAAAATCTATCTAGTTGGCAATCCAGGCCTGCAATATGATTTGTTTTACAAAGTCTTTAGAGACCCACATTCCTCTAGTTTTGTACTCCTCTGTCATAAAGGAGTGATATTCATTCTTATGATATAAGATAGAGTTCCAGCAATCATTCATATTCCAAATTGTAGAATGGGAAGACTGAGGGAAGCAGGCCAAGAATGTCTCATATATATCTCTTAAGAAATTCCTAGAAATTGAAAGATGACATGCTTATATCCCACTGACCAGAAGTGTATCATATTACTGCATTTAGGCTAAATATAGTATCTTTATTCTAAGAGGTCATAGGCCCATCAAAAAGTTATATTACAGAAGGGAATAATGGACAAATAGTCATCTCTGTCAAATATATAAATCCTGATATAAGAGAAAATATTTTTTAAGCAATCTATGAAACATTTACTAAAACTGAGTACATATTTATTTAAAATACTGATAGATTTTCCAAAATAGAAATAAAAATGGTATTCTCTGAATGATATTCAATACAATGAAAACATTATATCAAATGATAGAGTATCAAATAATAGAACATCTCTTCTAACTTTAAAAGTAAATCAAAATTTTAATTGCAGTAATGAAAACACAATTTCACTGACCAGCTAAAGCAAAGCTTATTGAAAATAGAGTAGCTTTAAATACTTATATTGTTGAATTAATAATAAGAAATACTTTTTAAAATGGGAAAATTTAAAACAAGGAGATAGCTGGAGTGGCTCATTAATATCAGGTAAAGTAGACTTAAAACAGAACTTAAATTATTGATTTAAGAAAGCTTTTTGCTGATTGATTTGACAACTTTTCTAATATGAGTTTTATTGCTATAAATTCCGCACCCCCATACACTGCTCTAGCATCTCACAAAATTTTATGTGGTACTTTCATATTTCTTCAGTTAAAAATATTTTCTAATTTTCCTCAAGGCTTTCTCATTAGCCCATAGGTTATTTAGAAATATGTTGCTTAATTTCCAAGTGTTTGCAGATTTTCATCTTTTAGTAATTGATTTCTAGATTAATTCTATTATTGTCAGAAAACATATTTTGCATGATTTCAAAACCTGACAAAACTTGATTTTGTTAAGGTTTAGCTTATGGCCCAGAACATGATTTATCTTGGTGAATGTTTCATTTGCGCTTGGAAAGAATATGTATTATACTATTGGTTGGAGAATCCTACGTGTCAATTAAATCCAGTTGGCTGATGTTGTTCCATTCTTCCATATATTTAACGATTTTGTATGTACTAACTATTAATTATACTGGGAGAGAAGTATCAATGCCCAACTGTAATTATGAATTTGTCTTTTTTCATCTTCTTTTAAATTTTATGGTTTAAACAAAAAACATTTAGGCATGATGCATTGAACTAAATACTGATAAGGTATACTTCCAAAGAATTACATTTTTTTGCTCTGCAGAAAGATAGGTTAAGAAAATGAGGTTAAGAAAATGAAATTACAAATAATAGATTAATTTTTAAAAAATTATAAATCACTCAAAAGAGAGAAAAAAAAAAACCCAGTTAAATAATCAGCAAAATACTTGAACAAACACTTCACCAAAGAGAATATATGAATGGAGAATAAGCACAAGAAAGAATACTCAATACAATTAGTCATTACAAAAATGAAATTAAGACCATCATGAGATATGACTACAAACCTATCAGAATGTCTAAAATAAAAATTACTGACAAGACTAAGTGCTGAGAGGATATGATGAAGCAACTGGAATTCTCAAAGATTACTAGTGGGAATCAACCTTTAGGAAAAGCTTTCCAGTTTCTTATAGATTATACATTTACCATGTGGCCCCTGAAATTTAACTCCTAGGTATTTAACCTTTGGAAATAAAAACTTAAATTCACACAAAACCTCTGTATAAATCTTTATAGCAGCTCTATTCCTAATTATCTGGAAATTAGGCCAAACTGGAAATAAGCCAAATTGCCTTTAATGGGTGAATTGATAAACAAACTGTGATATATCTATGTAATGGAATACTACTCAGGAATGAAAAGAAGTAAACTGTTGATAGATGCAACAACTTGAATACATCTCAAAGGCATTGTGTTCAGCAAAAGAAGACAGTGCCTGAAGGTTATAGTCTGTTTGATTCCCCTTAGATGACATTCTTGAAAAGACAAAACTGTGGTAATTATTCAATCAGTGGTTGCCAGATGAAGAAACTGATCTTTCTCCTGACTGGGGTTGTGTTAACACAAAAATATTTGCATGCTAAAATTCATAAAACTGTAAACCAATATAAGCTAAATTTTATTCTATATTAATTTAAAAATAAAATAAACAGTTTAACAGAACAAACACAAAAGACACACATTCATATATGCATATAAGATTTCTGGAAAGGTGCACAAAATATGTTAACTAATTGAGTTTTTTGGAGGGGTTAAAGTTTACATTTTTATTGTACATACTTTTAAATTATTTTCATATATTAGCATGTGTGTATAATTATTTCAATAAAAGTAAAATTTAAGAAATAATATTTGGGATTGGATCAAAAGATAAAATAAGATTTATAAAATTGTGCAGAGATCTACACATGATTGGTTCTAGATCATTGATACTCAGTTTCCCGTAGTCTGTTCCTCCGATTCAAACTGAAGTTCTTATCACCCAAAAAAGTCAAGAGAAAAGAATCAGCCTTCATAAAATGTTCTGAAACTGCAGGTGATCACGATCAAATGTAAACTGGTTGTTCTTGGCTGGATAAGGTCAAGTTAAGAGCTTTGGAAGCATTTGTGAAACAAGAAAATCAATAGTTTTGTGTATTAAATGTCTGCACTGCAAGCAAAGTCAGAGAAGAAAAACAATACCACTTTGTATGTAGTGTTCTACAAGCCAAGAGATAAATCCTTTCAAATGATCTGAGTTGGAGGTATACATTATCTGAGAATTGGCAATTTAGCACAAGCTGATAAATCATTTCATTTGACCTAAAAAGTATAGAGAAGATATGATAGAATGGCACTAAGTGCATGCTCTCTTGGCATGCATATTTTATATGGGTGACTGAGGACTTTTTACATTCCTTTTCTGTATCATAAATCGAATGTACTATTTCAGATATGGGAATCAGAAGTCTTTTATTCACGATTCAGCCACATTGAAAGTCTTAAATGGCAACAAGTTGCTTATTTCCTCTTTTATTTCCTAACAGCAATGCATTTCCAATGTTGTTGTCAAATATCCAAGTAAAATGCCCAGTCACTTCAGGACTTAGTTTTTCACATGCAAGTATAGATCTAAACTATTTCAGCAATCAGTATAATCCACAAATTCTAATATGGGATCCCTTTACAATATAACTCAAATTTGTAATGTTCTTTATGCCTAACCTTGGTACTTTAATTCGGGTCCTAGACATACTTGCCCTATTCTAGTAAGTACTTTTTAAGGAATATTTCTAGACATTATTTTTCAACTCCAGCTTACTATATATATAAATTGCAAAGTTTTCTTCTTAAATCACTGTTCTATTAGCACCATTCCTTCTTCAAGATTAACAGTTCTCTATTTTTTCAATCAATCATACACACAAAAGCATAACACTTAAAAACATGCCCCAAGCATGTTCCATATAAATGTATGCCCTAAATCTGGCCACACTGGGCTCTTTACCATGTCCTGAAGATATTTGGCATATTTGCATATGTTGCTCCTATAGTTGTAAAGTTCTCTCCCTTTTAATTTAATCCACATTATTTAGAGCCTTCCATTTTCTTAAGGCAAATTTCATACGCCATCTTCTTCCATGAAGCCTTCTCTGATTAGTTCACAGTTAAAGATGATCTTTCAGGTCTCGGAATACTTACCATTTAAGTTCTGTGGTAACCACTGGCCAAATACTGCACAGAGTCTAATTCTTGTCCATTTCTTATTTCCCTTAGCAATTAGAAAGGACACAGTCTCCTTCCTAGAATCTGTAGTACTTAGCCCAGCCCTGGCACACAGAAAATATTCAATAAAAACATGTCAAATTATGGAATATAAGATTTAGCACTTGTGGCTACAACATAGGGGTTGTATACAAGAAAACAAAGTGAATTAATTAAGCATAAAGACCCACACTAGAGTGTCTGTGCAGAGGACTTAGGCTCCAGCTGTGGCTACAACATAGGGTTTTTAACCCATGAAATCAGATTTATAGTATATATAATTTCTTTCCTAACACCTAAAATTCTTCCATTTGATAACGTTTGTTTTAGCACCTTTTTCTCACACATAGAAAAGCATTTTAAAGTACAGATATCTCTTGGAGGCATGAAGGATTAACTTTCTTATATATTAAATTTATCAAATTCCTGTCTTTTGACAAAAATTCAGAGTCTCCTATTAGGAGACTAGCTTAGACTTGCATGAAAGGCAGGAGGTTTGACTCAAAGTAGAGAGCAGACTCCAAAGACAAATGTCTCCTGATTTCAACACTCATGAGAGCAGAGGTGAGCAACAGCTCTCATTCAAGTATAGATCTAAACTATTTCAGCAATCAGTATAATCCACAAATTCTAATATAGGATCCCTTTACAATATAACTCAAATTTGTGATGTTCTTTATGCCTAACCTTGGTACCTTAATTCGGGTCCTAGACATACTTGCCCTATTCTAGTAAGTGCTTTCAAGGAATATTTCTAGACATTATTTTTCAACTCCAGGTTACCATATATATATATATATATATATATATATATATATATATATATATATATATACACACACACACACATATATATATATACATATACATATATATATATAACAATAATAATTATATAAATTGGATGGGGAGAGGTAGGGAGGGATGGAACGTTAATCCATGGAGAAAGGTGACAAAAATAAGCCTTGAGTTCTATGAATGATCCACTAAGTGAGCATCCTGCCAAAAATGGCTGCTGAGCCTTGGAACAAAAAAGGTCTTTCCAAGAGATATTAGGGAAATGGGAAGGAAGTTAAAGAAAGCTAATGTTTACCAAGTTTAAATTATCTACTTACATCCATGATCTTCTTTGGTCACCATTTTAAACATCAAAAGTAGATAGTGCTGTCCCCCTTGTGTAGAGACAGTGATGTGTACATACTTTTAAAATCACACACACTTAGAAATTGTGTAGCAAGGATTTGAAGATGATTCTGTCTGATATTAATCACATGCTGATTTCGGTACAACATATTGCTCTATTAGAGGCTAGTTTTTCAGGGTATTTTACTTTAGGTGTGATGAACTTTTGGCGCACTACAGTTTCCCTTTCCTCATTTTAGCAGACATTGGTAGTTGATCGCAGTATTCTTTGAGCCTAGATTCTATGGTAGCGCCTCCTAACATACTGGTCTGAGAGCCCACTAGAAATCAGAGTTCTTTGTCTGAGATGAAACTTATTAGAAATGCCTAATACCACTGACTTTTATTTGTTAATTTATTTTAGATTTGGGGGTACATGTGCAGGTTTGTTACATGGATATATTATATAACGGTGAGGTTTGGGCTTCTGGTTAATCCATTACCCAAACACTGAACAATGTACCCTAAATAGGTAAAATTTTCAACCCTCACTCCCCCACAATCCTCCCCCCATTGAAGTCCCCAGTAACTATTATTTCCATCTTTATGTCCATGTGTAGCCATTTTTTAGCTCCCACTTACAATGAGAACATGCAGTATTTGATTTCTGTTTCTGAGTTATTTCACTTAGGATAATGGCCTCCAGTTCCATCCATGTTGCTACAAAGGACATGATTTCCTTCTTTTTTATGGCTTCATAGTCTTCCATGATGCATATATTGAAGCATATATACCAAATTTACTTTATCCAGTCAACCAATAATAGACACTTACATTGGTTCCATGACTTTGCTATTGTGAATAGTACTGCAATAAACATACAAGAGCAGGCGTCTTTTTGATAAAACAATTTCTGTTCCTTTGGATAGATACCTAGTCATGGGATGCTGAGTTGAATTGGTAGTTCTATTTTTAGTCCTTTGAGAAATCTCCACACTGTTTACCATAGTTTAACTAATTTACATTCCCACCAACAGTGCATAAGCGTTCCCTATTCTCCACATCCTCACCAACATCTGTTACTTTTTGACATTTTAGTAATAGCCATTCCGACTGATGTGAGATATCCCATAATAGTTTAAATTTGCATTTCTCTTATGATTAGTGATGATTGTTTTTTCATGTTTGTAGGCATCTTGTATGTATTATTTTGAAAAATGGCTATTCATGTCCTTTGCCCACTTGTTAATGGGCTTGTTTTTTCTTATTGATTTGAGTTCCTTACAGATTCTGAATATTAGTCATTTGTCAAATGCATAGTTTGCAAGTATTTTGTCCTATTGTATAGGTTGTCTGCTTACTCTGTTGACTGTTTCCTTTGCTGTGCAGAAGCTCTTTAGTTTGATTAAATTCCATTTATCAATTTGTGTTTATGTTGCATTTGCCTTTGAGATCTTAGTCATAAATTCTTTGCCTAGGCTAATATCCAGAAGAGTTTTTCCCAGGTTTTCTTCAAGAGTTTTTATATTTTAAAGTCTTACATTTAAGTCTAATCAATTGTAAGCTAATTTTTTTATATGGTAAGACAGGGGTCCTGTTTTATTTTTATGCATATGAATAGCCAGATTTCCCAGCACCACTTATTAAATAGGGTGTCCTTCCTGCATGGTTTATTTTTTTCAACTTTGTTGATGCTCAGTTGGCTGTAAGTAAGTGGCTTTATTATTGAGTTCTCTATTTTGTTCCATGGACCTATGTGTCTTTTTTTGTACCAGTATCATACTGTTTTGTTATGATAGTCTTGCAGTATACTTTGGAGTCAGGTAACATGTTGTTTTGCTTTGCTCTTTTTGCTTAGGATGCTCTGGCTATTCAAGCTCCTTTTTGGTTCCATATGAATTTTAGAATACTTTTTTCTAATTCTGTGAAAAAATGATGTTGGTAATTTGATAGGAATTACATTGAATCTGTAGATTGCTTGGGCAACATGGTCATTTTAACAATATTGATTTTCCCCATCCATGAGCATGAAATGTTTTTCCATTTGTTTGTGTCATCTACAATTTTCTTAATCAGTGCTTTGTAGTTCTTCTCGTAGAGGCCTTTTACCTCCTTGGTTAAATGTATTACTAGATATTTTTGTTTTTGTGTCTTTATTGTAAATGGGATTGAGTTCTTGATTTGGTTGTCAGCATGAGTATTGTTGGTGCATAGACATGCAACTGAATTTTGTATGTTAATTTTGTACCCTAAAACCTTACAGAAACCATTTATCTAGTCTATGAGACTTTTGGAAGAATCTTTAGGGATTTTTAGGTATAAGATCATGTCATCAATGAACAGAGATAATTTGACTTCTCTCTTCCTGTTTGGACATCTTTTATTTCTTTCCCTTGATGGACTGTGCTGACTAGGACTTATAATTAAACTAAAGAGCTTCTGCACAGCAAAAGCAATTATCATCAGAGTGAACAGGCAACCCACAGAATGGGAGAAAATTTTTGCAATCTACTCATCTGACAAAGGGCTAAGATCCAGAATCTACAAAGAACTCAAACAAATTTACAAGAACAAAACAAACAACCCCATCAAGAAGTGGGCAAAGGATATGAACAGACACTTCTCAAAAGAAGACATTTATGCAGCCAACAGACACATGAAAAAATGCTCATCATCACTGGTCATCAGAGAAATGCAAATCAAAACCACAATGAGATACCATCTTACACCAGTTAGAATGGCAATCATTAAAAAGTCAGGAAACAACAGGTGTTGGAGAGGATGTGGAGAAATGGGAACACTTTTACACTGTTGGTGGGACTGTAAACTAGTCCAACCATTGTGGAAGACAGTGTGGCGATTCCTCAAGGATCTAGAACTAGAAATACCATTTGACCTAGCAATCCCATTACTAGGTATAAACCCAAGGGATTATAAATCATTCTGCTACAAAGACACATGCACATGTATGTTTACTGTGGCACTATTCACAATAGCAAAGACTTGGAATAAACCCAAATGTCCATCAATGATATAATGGATTGAGAAAATGTGGCACATATACACCATGGAATACTATACAGCCATAAAAAATGATGAGTTCATGTCCTTTGTAGGGACATGGATGAAGCTGGAAACCATCATTCTCAGCAAACTGTCACAAGGACAAAAAAACAAACACCACATGTTCTCACTCATAGGTGGGAATTGAACAATGAGAACACTTGGACACAGGAAGGGGAATATCACACACTGGGGCCTGTCGTGGGGTGGGGGGAAGGAGGAGGGACAGCATTAGGAGATATACCTAATGTAAATGACGAGTTAATGGGTGCATCACACCAACATGGCACATGTATACATATGTAACAAACCTGCACATTGTGCACATGTACCCTAGAACTTAAAGTATAATTAAAAAAAAAACCCCAAAAAAACAACAAAAAAAAGACAAATCCCTACCAAAAAAAAAAAAGAAGTAGTGAGAGTATATATCCTTATCTTGTTCCAGTTCTTAGAGGGAATGCCTTCAACTTTTCCCTATTCAGCGTGATCTTGGCTATTGGTTTGTCATATATTTTCTGATATGTTCCTTCGATGCCTGTTGAGAAATTTTATCATGAAGAAATGCTGGATTTTATCGAACGCTTTTTCTGCATCTATTGAGATAATCATATGGTTTCTGTTTTTAATTATGCTTCTTTGGTAAATCACACTTATGATTTGCATAGGCTGAATGATCCTTGCATCTCTGAAATAAAACCACTTGATCATGATGGATTATCTTTTTGATGTGCTGTTGGATTTGGTTTGCTAGCATTTTGTTGAAGATTTTGGCATCTATATTGATGAGGAATATTGTCTGGTAGTTTGCTTTTGTTCTTGTGTCCTTGACAGATTTTGATATCAGGATAATACTGGTTTTATAGAATGAGTTAAAGAGGAATCCACCCTTCTTGAATTTTTGAGATACTTTCAGTAAGATTGATACCAGCTCTTCTTTGTAAATCTGGTACAATTTGACTGTGAATCTGTCTGGTCCCGGGCTTTTTTTCACTGATAGATTTTTTTTATTACTTATTCGATTTTATTACTAGTTATTGGTCTGATTAAGATTTCTATTTCTTCCTGGTTCAATCATGAGAGATTCTATGTTTCCAGGAATTTATCCATTTCCTATAGGTTTTCTAGTTTGTGTGCTAGAGATGTTCATGGTAGTCTCTGACGACCTTTTGTACTTCTGTGGTAACGTCCCCTTTATCATTTCTGATTGTGCTTTTTTTTTTTTTTTTTTTTTTTTGAGATGGAGTCTCACTCTGTCGCCCAGGCTGGAGTGCAGTGGCACAATCTTGGCTCACTGCGAGCTCCGCCTCCCGGGTTCACGCCATTCTCCTGCCTCAGCCTCCTGAGTAGCTGGGCCGCCACCATGCCCAGCTAATTTTTTGTATTTTGGTAGAGACGGGGTTTCACCGTGTTAGCCAGGTTGGTCTTGATCTCCTGACCTCGTGATCCACCTGCCTCGGCCTCCTAAAGTGCTGGGATTACAGGCGTGAGCCACCGTGCCCGGCCCTGACTGTGCTTATTTGAATCTCCTCTCTTATTTTCTTGGTTAACCTAGCTAGTAGACTATCAATTTTGTTTATTCTTATAAAAAAACAACTTTTTTTTCATTGAAGCTTTGTATACTTTTTTTTTTATTTTAATTCCATTTAGTTCTGCTCTGATCTTTCTTATTTCTTTTCTTTGCCTAGCTTAGATTTGGTTTGTTGTTGTTTCTCTAGTTCCTTGAAATGTGACTTTACGTTGTTAATTTGAGATCTTTCTTTTTGATGTAGGCACTTATAATTGTAAACTTTCCTATTAACCCTGCTTTTGCTATTTCCCTGAGGCATTGGCATGTTGCATCTCTATTTCTATTTCTTTCCATTTTTATTTTTATTTCTGTCTTGTCATTTGCTCAAAAGTCATTCCTGAGTAAGTTGTTTAGTTTCCGTGTACTTGTGTGGTTTTGAGAGTTCCTCTTGGTATTGATTTCAAATTTTCAAAACCACTGACCTCCAAACTCATTATAAGAATTCATAATAATAATCACTACCAATTTACGCAGCACATTTGAAGTGCTGAGCATGATACAAGACTTATAAAATATATCATACCTAATAAAATTGAGTGAGTTTGTTTGCAATATTTGCTACTCCTTGATTTCCAGATCAGCAGGCTTCCTTTTTTTTAATTATTTTTATTTTTTTGACACGGAATCTCACTCTGTCACCCAGGCTGGAATGCAGTGGTGCAATCTTGGCTCACTGTAACCCCTGCCTCCCAGGTTCAAGCAATTCTCCTGCCTCAGCCTCTCGAGTAGCTGGGATTACAGGCACATGCCACCAGGCCCAGCTAATTTTTGTATTTTTAGTAGAGATGGGGTTTCGCCATGTTGGCCAGGCTGATCTTGAACTCCTGACCTCAGGTGATCCACTCACTCAACCTCCCAAAGTGCTGGGATTACAGGCGTGAGCCACCACGCAGCAGGGTTCCTTTGACAGATGATTCTGATTACAAAAGTGTTCCTGTCTCCCCAATTTGTTTCCGTGTGTCTTTTTCCACATCTGCACATTTGTTTGAAGAAGAGGTGCTTTCCAAATGGAGAAGAATTCTTTGGCCAAAGCTACCTGTTATACACCTGAAACTCTGATAAAGCTTCTTCAAGTTTATTTTTAAGAAATAAAACTAGAGGTCCCATAGCAGTCTGTGTAGTTCCTGGACCAGCTAAGGTGCCATCCCAGAATAGACCATTATTTGGTAGTGACAGAATATATGGCAACTAAAAACTGGGCCCATTAATTGACCAATCATTTTCCTCTTTATCTTTCTTTTCCTTGGAGTATAAATCACATTTATCAATTCATGTTCTTTAAAATATTTCAGTGGATTCCTATTTCTCTTAGAATATCCAAAGTACAAAATGTTTTCCTGATCCAGCATCCCTCCCACTTCTTCCACTGTGTCTTTCACCTTTTTGTCACCATTCTTCCCATTGCTCCCACTGGCTTCACTTTATCATTTAATCTCTGCTGCCATCCCTCTTGCTGCGAGCCTTCACTTCTTTTTTTTTCTTTTCTTTTTTTTTTTTTGAGACCGAGTCTCACTCTGTCACCCAGGCTGGAGTGCAGTGGCGTGATTTCAGCTCATGGTAACCTCCGCCTCCGGCGTTCAAGCAATTCTCCTGCCTCAGCCTCCCAAGTCACTAGGATTACAGGCATGCGCCACTGCACCTGGCTAATTTTTGTATTTTTTTTTTTAGCAGAGACGGGCTCTCACCGTGTTGGCCAGGCTGGTCTTGAACTCCTGACCTCAGGTGATCTGCCCGCCTCAGCCTCCCAAAGTGCTGGGATTACAGGTGTGAGCCACCATGCCCAACCAAGCCTTCACTTCTTATTCTCTCTGCCTGGAATGTTGTTTCCTTATTGCTGCTCAGGTATGGCTTATTCTTCTCCTCTTAGGACTCAACTCAAATGACAACACCCCTGCTGACTGGTTGTTCTACCTCATTAACTTGTACATCAACTTCAGAGAGGGTTTCACAATTTCTATTTTTAATTGGTTTGTTTACCAGTTTACAGAATTTTTCTCAAACTACTTATTGTAATTCTTTTACAATGAGAATTTCTTTCTTTCTTCCTTTCATTATTTCATTAAATATTTATTGAGTACCTTTGAACTTACAGGATGAACACAAAGTCCTTGCTCTCATAAGTTTATTTTTTATCAGAGGAAAATAAAGAAATAGAAAAACCAGCTATAATCAGTTCTCATTATTTGTGGTAGTTATGTTCTATAAAGTTATCCCAAACACTAAATTAGTGAATACTAGATCATCACTCCTAAGGGAAATATACATTAGGTTCCTGTAGGCCTCTGGTCACAAAATTTTCATCAAGAAATCAATATGTAACTTTGTTTTAAAGTGTGTTTCTGTTTAAAGGCATGTTATTTAATATATATTGTTGACTTATTAACATTGAACTCATGGCCAGTAGCACTTTAACTCATGCATGATGAAGCTTGTCTAACACACATATTTTCTCTGGAAGGCATACCACAGCCTTCTTGCACTTAGAAACACTAGACAGTACTTTAGCACCACGTTTGGAGGCCCTTTTTAACAGCAAAATCAAGAAGAAAAAGCACAAAGATGGTAAAAATGGGGCACTAAATAGACTGAAAAAAGGACATTTGTTTGCAGTACGGGAGCTGAAAAAAGAAGGCAGAATGTCTCCTTGTTAGACCTCAGCTGAAAATGTACACCTTACCCTACTCAAATTTTTCACCACTGCCCTTGTCTATGAATAATGATAAAAGTGCCATGATTATTGATTTTGGGGTTACAAATAAATTTTAGCGAGTAAGAAAATTCACAAATATTGAATCCTCAAATAATGAGAATCAACTGTAATGACAGATAACTAGAAGCATGAGAAATACTATGAAGAAAGATTTAAAGACAGAGTAAGGAGGGTGGATGTATTATTCTAGATGGCTTGGACAGGGAAGCCATCTGTCCAAGCCATCTAGACTTGGACAGAAATTTATCAATTTCACTCTGATAAAGTGAAATTTAAATGAAGTGTTAAATAAAATGAAAGAGTCATGCAGGTATATGAAGAAAAGAACATACCAAGCAAAGCAAAGACCACATGCAAAATCTGGGGGAGAAAATGTGCTTGAAATGAAAGGAGCTTGACAGAAAAGCAGGAAATAATATAGAGTTGGGGGTTAGGGGACTGATATGTGCAGACCATTTTGAGCCTTGGAGTTCATTCTTGTGGTATAGTCTTTTATCTACAATGGGATAGAAAATCACTGGAAGGTTTTGAGTTGAAGAGTATCAAGAGCTAACATTTTTTAAAAGGTCCTTCTGGCTGCTGTATGGAAAACAGAATGTACGGGTCAGTGTTGGAAGCTAAGAGACCAGCTGGAAGTGATCACAATATTCCAGGTAAGAAAACATGGTAGCTTAGGTAGGGTAACAGTAGAGATAATATTTAGGAGTCATGGAATTTTGGTTATGTTTCATGGTTGCCATTAAGAAAATTTGGTATAGATTGTATATTAATACATCAAAGTGCAGGAGACAGATGGGAGAGGGAGGGACAGGGATAAAAAGAGAGATTATAGATGACTGCAAAATTTCCTGCCAGATTGACTGGAAGAATGAAGTTAGCATTTTGGGTAGAAGGGTAGAGAAAGAATAGATTCTCAGAGATGTGGGTGGTGAGAGGAGAATGCATTCCATTTGAGACAGTTAACTGGAGGTGCAAAATAATCATCCCAGTGAAAATGTCAATTAGGGAGTTAGATATAGGATTATGAAATTCAAGGGATAAGTCCTGACTAAAGATAATTGGGGAGTTATTTTTTGGGCTTTGACTTTTATCTAGAATGAGATCAAGAAAATTATTGCTTTTAAGCTATGAGATAGATGAGATCAACTAGGGAGTAACTAGAAGTAACGCTATGAAGAGATCTGAGGACAATGGAATGTACGTTTCAAGAGAGCAGGAATTAGGTGGGGCGCGGTGGCTCATGCCTGTAATCCCAGCACTTTGGGAGGCAGTGGCTCAGGCCTGCAATCACAGCATTTTGGGAGGACGAAGCAGGTGGGTCACTTAAGCTCAGGAATTTGAGACCAGCCTGGCCAACATGGTGAAACCCCATCTGTACTAAAAATACAAAAATTAGCCAGGTGTGGTGGTGCACACCTGCAGTCCCAGCTACTCAGGAGGCTGAGGTAGAAGAATTGCTTGAACCTGGGAGGTGGAGGTTGCAGTGAGCCAAGATCATGCCACTGATCTCAAGCCTGGGTGACAGAGTGAGACACATCTAAAAAAGAAAAAACAACAAAACAGGAGAGCAAGAATAATACCATTTTCAATGTCTGTCCAATGATATCCACAGTAAATAACATTGAACTGTTTTGGAGAATACATTAAAATTTGTATATGGATAAAAAGGTGCACTGGAGATTTGTTTTCCTTCTTTTTCAATTAACTTTTAAATATGTATTTCATGTGTCTATGGAGCCAGAAGGAATAATTTTTTAATAGCTAAGTACTTTGAATTAGATGTGATTTTTCCTTTATTTCACTTTATTCAAACAGAATTCTTACCTTATTGGAACTTGCTTGTGATTTTTCAGAGAGAGATTGTTTCCGCAAATCTGAGTTGATGATTAGGGTAAAGAAGAATTGCTCCGAAAATGTCAATCAAACAGAGGAAGTTTATTCTCCAGTTTGACTTTCCACACCCACTATGAGACTCACAGCTTTCTAAAATAACAATGATAATTACTGTTGTTGTTACCAACGTTGTGAGCTGGTACAGAACAATTTTTAAATGTTAATTCCTGTGTTGGGTCATCAGCACTTCATCTTTCTCTTTCAAAGCTTGTAACCCTTAATTGAGCAGCCTTCTCAGGAAAATAAGCCCACGTGATGGATTATGCTCTAGTCTCAGAGACATCAAAAGGAGAAATGAAAGAGACAAGGCCACACATGGCCCTGTTGTAAGCTTTCCCCTATTGCATTGTACACATCAGATAACTAAATTTTCAAAAATAAAAATATGTGATGTAGGCCAGGCGCAGTGGCTCACACCTGTAATCCTAGCACTGTGGGAGGCTAAGGCAGGCAGGTCACCTGAAGTCAGGAGTTCGAGACCAACCTTACCAACATGGAGAAACCCCATCTCTACTAAAAATGCAAAATTACCCGAGCATGGTGGCACATGCCTGTAATCCCAGCTCCTCAGGAGGCTGAGGCAGGAGAATCACTTGAACCCGGGAGGCAGAGGTTGCGGTGAGCTGTGATCACCCCATTGCACTCCAGCCTGGACGACAAAACAAAACTCTATCCCCTCCCAAAATAAATAAATAAAATAATAAAAATAGGTGTTGTCTTGAAGATTTTGAAACCAAATTTAAATTATAAATCTCCCTGTTGTCTCTACATTTGTTTGGGCTTTTGGGGACTTAATAGCATAATACATACTTTCATTTAATAACTGCATTTCCAAATCAGATCTCCTAACATCATTGAATTATTTCTCCAGGCCCCCTCACTTTGAAGAAAGGTCCCTGTTCAGTACTGGAGACATATTCCAAAGGTTTACTAGTTTCTATATAGCTGCAGAAACACAGACTCCTTTTGTTTTAATCAAACGTGCTCATTACTGTGTTATGTGAACTTTGTCAACTTATAAGCTCTTAGTGGACAACAATATTTTGCTCTTCTACCTCTAAAGCTCATGAAAGAACTTCCAAAATGTTTGTCAAATGAATAGCTTCAAATCATCTATATCATAATTTCACTTTGACACTTTTGAGTTCTTGGGGGAAAAGCAAGTAGCCTAGTTACTATTCTCCAGTAATCCTTAGTTAATAGACCAGCTCTGAAGGGATCATGGGAAATTAACTAACAACTTGAGAAAGATAGGAGATGATGGTTACATGCTATTTCAATGAGTATTTAAATCGCACCTTGGAGTTGCTTCCAAGATGGCCAAATAGGAACAGCTCTGGTCTACAGCTCCCAGCAAGATTGACACAGAAGATGGGTGATTTCTGCATTTCCAACCGAGGTACATGGTTCATCTCATTGGGACTGACTGGACAGTGGGTACAGCCCATGGAGGGTGAGCCAAAGCAGAGCAGGGAGTCACCTCACCCGGGAAGCACAAGGGGTCAGGGGATTTCCCTTTCCTAGCCAAGGGAAGCCATAAGTGACTGTACCTGGAGGAACAGTACACTCCTGCCCAAATACTGTGCTTTTCCCATGGCCTTAGCAACCGGAAGACCAGGAGATTCCCTCCCGTGCCTGGCTCACTGGGTCCCACGACCACGGATCCTTGCTCGCTGCTAGCGCAGCCATCTGAGATCAACCTGGGACACTGGAGCTTGGCAGGGGGAGGGGCATCCACTATTGCTGAGGCTTGAGTAGGCAGTTGAGTATGCTCACAGTGTAAACAAAGCAGCAGGGAAGCTCAAACTGGGTGGAGCCCACCACAGCTCAGCAAGTCCTACTGCCTCTCTAGATTCCACCTGTGGGGGTAGGGCATATATGAACAAAAGGCAACAGACAGCTTCTGCAGACTTAAATGTCCCTGCCTGATGGCTCTGCAGAGAGCAGTGGTTCTCCCAGCATGGGGTTTGAGCTCTGATAACGGACAGACTGCCTCCTCAAGTTGGTCCCTGACCCCTGTGTAACCTGACTAGGAGACACCTCCCAGTAGGGGCCGACAGACACCTCATACAGGCAGGTGTCCCTCTGGGATGAAGCTTCCATAGGAAGGATCAGGCAGCAATATTTGCTGTTCTGAAGCCTCCGCTGGTGATACCCAGGCAAACAGGGTCTACAGTGGACCTGCAGCAAACTCCAACAGACCTGCAGCTGTTAGAAGGAAAACTAACAAACAGAAAGAAGTATCAACAGAAAGGACATTCACACCAAAACCCCATCTGTAGGTGACCAACGTCAAAGACCAAAGGGAGATAAAACCACAAAGATGGAGAGATACCACAGTAGAAAGGCTGACAATTCCAAAACCAGAGCACGTCTTCTCCTCCAAAGGAACAAAACTGGACAGAGAATGAGTTTGACAAGTTGACAGAAGTAGGCTTCAGAAGGTTGGTAATAATGAACATCTCTGAGCTAAAAAAGCATATTCTAACCCATCTCAAGGAAGCTAAAAACCTTGAAAAAAGGTTAGACGAATGGCTAACTAGAATAACCAGTGTAGAGAAGAGCTTAAATGAACTGATGGAGCTGAAAACCACAGTACAAGAACGTTGTGAAGCATACACAAGTTTCAATAGCCAATTTGATCAAGCAGGAGAAAGGATATCAATGATTGAAGATAAAATTAATGAAATAAAGTGAGAAGACAAGATTAGAGAAAAAAGAATGAAAAGAAATGAACAAAGCCTCCAAGAAATATGGGACTATGTGAAAAGACAAAATCTATATTTGATTGTTGTACCTGAAAGTGACAGGGAGAATGGAACCAAGTTAGAAAACACTCTTCAGGATATTATCCAGGAGAACTTCCCCAATCTAGCAAGGCAGACCAACATTCAAATTCAGAAAATACAGAGAACACCTCAAAGATACTCCTCAAGAAGAGCAACCCCAAGGCACATAATTATCAGATTCACCAAGGTTGAAATGAAGGAAAAAATGTTAAGGACAGCCAGAGAGAAAGGTTGGGTTACCCACAAAGGGAAGCCCATCAGACTAACAGCGGATCTCTCGGCAGAAACCCTAAAAGCCAGAAGACAGTGGGGGCCAATAGTCAACATTCTTAAAGAATTTTCAACCCAGAATTTCATATCCAGCCAAACTAAGCTTCATAAGTGAAGGAGAAATAAAATCCTTTACAGACAAGCAAGTGCTGAGAGATTTTGTCACCACCAGGCCTGCCTTACAAGAGCTCCTGAAGGAAGCACTAAACATGGAAAGGAACAACCAGTACCAGACACTGCAAAAATATGGCAAATTGTAAAGACCATTGACGCTATGAAGAAACTGCATCAATTAACAGGTGAAATAACCAGCTAGCATCATATGACAATTCACACATAACAATATTAACCTTAAATGTAAATGGGCTAAATGCCCCAATTAAGACACAGACTGGCAAATTGGATAAAGAGTCAACACCCATCAGTGTGCTGTAGTCAGGAGACCCATCTCACATGCAAAGACACACAGGCTCAAAATAAAGGGATGAAGGAAGATCTACCAAGGAAATGGAAAGCAAAAAAAAACAGGGTTTGCAATCCTGGCTTCTGATAAAACAGACTTTAAACCAACAAATATCAAAAGAGATGAAGAAGGCCATTACAAAATGGTAAGTGGATCAATTCAGCAAGGAGAGCTAACTATCCTAAATATATATGCACCCAATACAGGAGCACCCAGATTCATAAAGCAAGTTCTTAGAGACCTACAAAGAGACTTAGACTCCCACACAATGATAATGGGAGACTTTAATACCCCACTGTCAATAGTAGACAGATCAATGAGACAGAAAATTAACAAGGATATCCAGGACTTGAACTCAGCTCTGGACCAAGCAGACCTAGTAGACATCTACAGAATTCTCCACCCCAAATCAACAGAATATACATTCTCCTCAGCACCACATTGCACTTATTCTAAAATTGACCACATAATTGGAAGTAAAACACTCCTCAGCAAATGTAAAAAACAGAAATCACTACAAACTGTCTCTTAGACCACAGTGCAATCAAATTAGAACTCAGGATTAAGAAACTCACTCAAACCACACAACTACATGGAAACTGAACAAACTGTTCCTGAATGACTACTGGGTAAATAACAAAATGAAGGCAGAAATAAAGATGTTCTTTGAAAACAATGAGAATGAAGACATAACATACCAGAATCTCTGGGACACATTTAAAGCAGTGTGTAGAGGGAAATTTATAGCACTAAATGCCCACAAGAGAAAGTAGGAAAAATCTAAAATTGACACTTTAACATCACAATTAAAAGAACTAGAGAAGCAAGAGCAAACAAATTCAAAAGCTAGCAGGAGAAAAGAAATAACTAAGATCAGAGCAGAACTGAAGGAGATAGAGACACAAAAAACCCTTCAAAAAATCAATGAATCCAGGAGCTGGTTTTGTGAAAAGATCAACAAAATAGATAGACCACTAGCCAGACTAATAAAGAAGAAAAGAGAGAAGAATCAAATGATTGAGGTGACATCACCACTGATCCCACAGAAATACAAACTACCAGCAGAGAATACTATAAACACCTCTATGCAAATAAACTAGAAAATCTAGAAGAAAGGGATAAATTCCTGGACACTTGCACCCTTCCAAGACTAAACCAGGAAGAAGTTGAATCTCTGAGTACACCAATAAAGGGTTCTGAAATTGAGGCAATAATTAATAGCCTACCAACCAAAAAAAGTCCAGGACTAGACGGATTCACAGCCAAATTCTACCAGAGGTACAAAGAGGAGCTGGTACCATTCCTTCTGAAACTATTCCAATCAACAGAAAAAGAGGGATCCTCCCTAACTCATATTATGAGGCCAGAATCATCCTGATACCAAAGGCTGGCAGAGACACAACAAAAAAAGAGAACTTTAGGCCAATATCCCTAAGAACATTGATGTGAAAATCCTCAATATAATACAGGCAAACTGAATCCAGCAGTATATCAAAAAGCATATCCACCAGGATCAAGTCGGGTTCAACCTTGGGATGCAAGGCTGGTTCAACATACACAAATCAATAAACATAATCCATCACATAAACAGAACCAATGACAAAAACCACATGATTATCTCAATAGATACAGAAAAGGCCTTGGACAAAATTCAACAGCCTTTCATGCTAAAAACTCTCAATAAACTAGGTATTGATGAAACATATCTCAAAATAATAAGAGCTATTTATGACAAACCCACAGCCAATATCATACTGAATGGGCAAAAACTGGAACTATTCCTTTTGAAAACCAGCACAAGACAAGGATGCCCTCTCTCACCACTCCTATTCAACATAGTGTTGGAAGTTCTGGCCAGGGCAATCAGACAAGAGAAATAAATAAAGGACATTCAGTTAGGAAAAGAGGAGGTAAAATTGTCTCTATTTGCAGATGACATGCTTGTATATTTAGAAAACCCCATCGTCTCAGCCCAAAATCTTCTTAAGCTGATAAGCCACTTCAGCAAAGTCTCAGGATAAAAAATCAGTGTGCAAAAATCACAAGCATTCCTATACACTAAGAACAGACAAAGAGCCAAATCATGAATGAACTCCCATTCACAATCACTACAAAAAGAATAAAATACCTAGGAATCCAACTTACAAGGGATGTGAAGGATCTCTTCAAGGAGAACTACAAACCACTGCTCAACCAAATAAAAGAGGACACAAACAAATGGAAGAACACTCCATGCTCATGGATAGGAACAATCAATATCGTGAAAATGGCCATACTGCCCAAGGTAATTTATAGTTTCAATGCTATCTTCATCAAGCTACCACTGACTTTCTTCACAGAATTGGAAAAAAAAACTACTTTAAATTTCATATGGAACCAAAAAAGAGCCCGCATAGTGAAGACAATCCTAAGCAAAAAGAACAAAGCTGGAGGCATCACGCTACCTGACTTCAAACTCTACTACAAGATTACAGCAACCAAAACATCATGGTACTGGTACCAAGACAGATATATAGACCAATGAAACAGAACAGTGTCCTCAGAAATAACACCATACATCTACAACCATCTGATCTTTGACAAACCTGACAAAAACAAGCAATGGGGAAAGAATTCCCTGTTTGATAAATGGTGCTGGGAAAACTGGCTAGCCATATATAGAAAGCTGAAACTGGATCCCTTCCTTACACCTTACACAAAAATTAACTCAAGATGGATCAAAGACTTAAATGTAAGACCTAAAATCATGAAAACCCTAGAAGAAAACCTAGGCATTACCATTCAGGACATAGGCATGGGCAAAGACTTCATGGCTAAAACACCAAAAGCAATGGCAACAAAAGCCAAAATTGACAAACGGGATCTAATTAAACTAAAGAGCATCTGCACAGCAAAAGAAACTACCATCAGAGTGAACAGGCAACCTCGAGAATGGGAGAAAACTTATGCAATCTATCCATCTGACAAAGGGCTAATATCCAGAATCTACAAAGAACTTAAGCAAATTTACAAGAAAAAACAAACAACCCCATCAACAAGCGGGCGAAGGATATGAACAGACACTTCTCAAAAGAAGACATTTATGCAGCCAACAGACATGTGAAAAAATGCTCATCATCACTGGTCATTGGAGAAATGTAAATCAAAATCACAATGAGATACCATCTCACACCAGTTAGAATGGCAATCATTAAAAAGTCAGGAAACAACAGATTCTGGAGAAGGTGCGAGAAATAGGAATGCTTTTACACTGTTGGTGGCAGTGTAAATTAGTTCAACCATTGTGGAAGACAGTGTGGAGATTCCTCAAGGATCTAGAACTAGAAATGCCATTTGACCCAGGTATCCCATTACTGGGTACATACCCAGAGGATTATAAATCATGGTACTATAAAGACACATGCACTCATGTTTATTGCAGAACTATTCACAATAGCAAAGACTTGGAATAAACCCAAATGTCCATCAATAATAGATTGGATAAAGAAAATGTGGCACATATACACCATGGAGTACTATGCAGCCATAAAAAAGGATGAGTTCATGTCATTTGCAGGGACATGGATGAAGCTGGAAACCTTCATTCTCAGCAAAATATCACAAGGACAGAAAACCAAATACCACAAGTTCTCACTCATAAGTGGGAGTTGAACAATGGGAACACATGGAGACAGGGAGGGGAACATCACACATTGGGGCGTGTTGGAGGGTGGAGGGCTGGGGGAGGGATAGCGTTAGGAGAAATAACTAATGTAAATGACGAGATGATGGGTGCTGCAAACCAACATGGCACATGTATACCTATGTAATAAATCTGCACATTGTGCACATGTATCCTAGAACTTAAAGTATAATAAAAATAAATAAATAAATAAATAAATAAATAAATAAATAAATAAATAAAAATAGCATCTTGGCTATTCTTGACATTAGTCACTTTTTCCCATGTCAAATATAAGATCTGGAGTGAGATATCACTTTTCTCTCCCTAGACATAAGTATCCTGACATAAGTATCCTGAGACAAGAATGTCTTTGAGTGACTCACAATTACTGAATTTATTTATCTAGTTTTCAACAAATATCTACTGAGCATCATGGATAAGCCTGGGATGTTATGTGTGTAAGTTCTTTGTCATAGGTATTATTATTTTATGGAGAAGGTATCTCTAACCTGTGGTGCTATCATTATGAGGGATCCAACAAAGGTCCCTTTCTATGTAGAGTAAATAGAGTGTTGGCTTATTTGAGATATTAATATGTCCTTTAAAATCAGCTAAGGATAAGAATGTTCCTTTGAGTAGGAAACCCAAAGGGAGCTGAAGAAGTTCAAGTAGGCAATAGAGTTAAAATTAGATGTTTATGCTCAAATGATTTAGAAGTAAAATGAACAACTGACAAACTTTTATGTGGCAGGAAATAAAGTGGAGCAGTCTCACAGGGTAATCCTTTGCTGGGAATGAAAATAATCCAAGAATGGCCCTATAAAGATGTCCTAAGTTCAAAGCCTACCTTGCATTTACAGTAGCAGCAGGACCTTCATACTGTATAAGCTTAACTAATTGTATGACTTCCTTATTTTATATCTTTTCCATCGTTACTTAGCATTAAAAAAAAATTCATTTTGAAAACAGCAGCCTCTTGTGAATGTGCTAGTAGTAGGACAGAAAAGAGCAGGGCATGATGATGGAAATAAAAATCAAAGAACAAAAAACCCTGTACTTACCTGGGTGGCATGTTACAAATTCATATTCCTAGGCCTCCCTCCAGACATACTAAATCAGAATTCATGGAGACAACCCAGAAATTATTATTTTTAAACAGCATGATGAGTGATTCTTGAAGTCACTAAATGTTGATCCTTCTGCCTAAGGGGACAATGACATCATCTTCATCATCTTCCCTTTCCACTCAAAGTGTCATTACACTAGACATGTAACTCTGCCAAGTACTCTAGATTCAATGTTTTCATTACAAAAATATATTTGTTTCCTCTTGGGACTTTTTCAATGAACTTTAATTTCACCACATTCTTTTAATTAGTAAGGAGAGGTCATTCAAAACATCAGAAAAATAAATTTCTACAACTCTTTATTTAGCCCACATATACTTACCTTTTGACATTCAATTCAGTTGTCAACTTTTCCCGGAATCTTTCCCTTATATCGCAGCCCAGTTCAGTCTAAATTAGGTGTTCTTCCTCTATATTATTAGAATACCTTATATTTAACACTGAGACACTGTGGTGGAATTATCTATTTACATGTCTGTTTCCTAAGCCAAACCTTCTTCAAATCAGATCTCACATTACTTGTCATTCATATTTTTCCAGCATCTCAACCAGGACTTAGAATATGATAAGTGCTCAATAGATTTTGGTTGAAAACAAACATGTATGCATGAATAAATACATGAAAATATGGTTCTGAAAGAAGCATTGAACCAAGCAAACCTGAAATTACAATTTTAGGAACTAAAGTTTTATAGTTTACTTGACACTTAAGGACACAGACTTATCTGGGAAACAGTTCAGATTACCTGGCTGTAGAACTTTGAGAAAATGAAACCTAATACTTATGTTGCCACCACACTATTTCCCAAAGCAATTGAAGGGAATAGCTAAACCCTATTATTTTTTTCATTGGTTCTAAGATGACTAATGTCTTCAGTGTTTTACCAACCTCAGCAACTAACAGATGTTTTTTCACTAAATGGGTTTACTATTTGCCATGCAATGTACAGACTGAAAATACAATTAACCAACCTGAAAACTATAGAGTAATGAAAGAACCCAAGAAATGGGGGAAGAAACAGAATTATTAGACTTTCAAAGGCTATTTGTGCTCTTGGAGCATCGTGTCTTGCCAAGTAAGAGGAAAGAATATATATATATATATATCACCATACACACACATACACAGACATATATATATTATGTATATAGCAGTACATTTAACTATACATAACACATACATTTAAGAAAAACAAAGTGTTTTCCCCAGTGCTGAGGTTATTATATTTGTTTTTACATGGGTTAGATTGTGCTGTGAGAGAGCAAGTTTGCAATGAAAGGACAACTTTCTCAGCTCATTTCCAATGGGTTGCCTCAGAGTCACCAGCTTAGCCACTAATAACTCCTAGTCTAGTTGCTTTTCCACAAATCACCAATTCAAAGTAGTCTCTCATTGCTCTAAGTACAGCAGAAGAAAACAAAACAGATTTCCCAGCACCAATATGCTGAAATAAGTGAGATAGAGATTGGCTCACAGTGGCTCCTTGAATAAATTCATAAACAAAGAATGTTTTTGAAGGATCAAACTGAGAACAATGATAACAGCTTATGTTAGCCACCTAGGTAAGGACTGACATTGAAAGAGTCTAGTTTTTCTGTTTCTATTTTGTGTGTGCATGTTGCGGGGAGGGTGTACACACAATTTAAACACTTTCAAGCTACACATAGTGTCCCTGGTTTTTCTAGAAAATTGCTTAACAGAAACAATCCAAGGCTTAAGGGAATCTCCCTTTTTCTGCCACTCTAGTTTGAAGAACCAAAATTAACTTATACACTATTAGCTTTAAAACATGTATCCCTCTTCTGAGATTTCCTCCTTAAATTGAAAACTTTTACCCTAGAATGAAACAGGATTACAGCTCTCCATTGGAGCCAATCTGTAGACCTTGGGGTCAGGAAGCCTCCTGTTAGCGAAGAGTCTCAGGAGGCCTTCTCTAAACTTTTCTAAACTGATAATGTGAAAATGGGTGCCCTGACATGAATCAATGTCATTAAAAGACCAGGAAGCCATGGAGGTAAGCTAACATTCACCATACCTGTAAACCACACCATGCAAAGTGTGGTTAATCATACCCCCAAAAAGAAGGCAGCTGAGCAGCTCTGGCAGCATCATTGATGAGCCCAATGCCTCCTTCTTCATAAACATCCCCCCTTTTTTTTTTTTAGCATTCAATAGTTACACTGAAAGTTAAAGATGACTTTATTAATAATAGTAATAATTATTGTAGGGCTTTTTAATTGTCAGGTACAATGCTAACTTTTATATATTATCTCATTGAATCTTCTCAAACTATACAGAAGCTAGTTTTACTTTTCTGGGTTTTTTTTCATTTTTTACTTTATTTTTCATTGAAAAAATAATACATGCAAATAATAAAATTTCAAATACAACAAAGAGGAATACAATAAAATATGACGTTTTTTACTCTGGTTTTCCAGATGACTTCCACAGAAGAATCATTATAACCAATTTCTTGGTCATTCTTTCAGAAACAATCTACATATATAAATCTGCAAGAAAATATATCATTTTTCAAGGCAATGGGTAGATATTATGGACTATCTTACACAAGTCTTGTTTTGTACTTAACTGTTTATATTGAACATTTTGCCTCATTGACACATGAAGCCTTACCAGATTCACTTTAATGCCATTATAGAATAGATATACCATGATTTATTTAATCCTGTCCTCTTGATGAATACCCAGCACAGTAATAATTCATGAACAGAAACAACCTAAGTTTTTTGTGTATTAGCTAGTTTAATCCTCATAATTAGCTCAATGAGATAAGTGTTATTATTAACTTCATTTTATAGATGGGGAGCAGAGTCTTAAAAGAAGTTGGTCATGTGCCTGAGGTGACAGAGCTAGGGTTTAGAACCTGTGTACTTAACAATAATGCTGAGCATCCTTTGATTTGTTTATTTGTTTATTTTGCTTATTTTTTCTCTGTCTCTCCTCTTTTTTATTCTTTTTATCACTTCTCCCCACGGCCTCCCAACTGCATACAAATACTTCCAGATATTTTCTCTTCTTTCTCCCTTGCTTATTGGTCAAGTACACTGGCAGAGCACAGTTACATTAAGCTCAGAGTGAATGGATTCACAAATATCAAAGCAAAAGCTCCTCCTTGAAATGAAATTATGTTGGTAAAGGTTCCATCATGCCTTCCTGAGAAATTATGCTGAAGTACTGTGTTCGCAATAGAAGGAACTGCCTGAATCTACAAGGCTGATTTCCACACACACTCCTCTTTCTCCTCCTCCTCTTTTCTCTCCTTCTCCTATTTTCTTCCTCTTATTTTTCCTTTATATTCTTCTTCTTGTAACTGTCTTTAGTTCTGGTCAATACTATATAACAAATAAATATCTGTGATTCATGTTAAAATAAGATACAGAAGCACACAAGCATCTTATCAATATATGTTCAACTTCTTCTTCATCCCTAATCAAACCACTAAGTTGTTTGTATTGTGTTTTGTTGTTTTGTTTCATTTGTTGACTAGTTTGTTTTTTCTGAAGATGTCAGGCCCAGTCTGTTCATATCCAAAGCCTTTGCTTTTTACCCTGCTCTGTCATGTCACCATCCTAGCATTACCTGCGACTGGCTGATAACTGGTTTCAATGCTTCCAGAATGGCCCTGCCCTATACACATAGCGGTAAGAAATCTGTACATCACGTTCTGCATTATACCTCTGATTTTCCTGTCCATGACACATAGAACAATGCGCTCTCATCAAAGGAGCCAGATTGGACAAGAAGAGTCTGAGTAGAAATCTGGAAATGTGATAAAGCATAGTATTAACAGCAATAAGAAAGACTGATAGGCTGGGGGCGGTGGTTCAGGCCTGTAATCCCAGCACTTTGGGAGGCTGAGGCAAGCGGATCACCTGAGGTCAGGAGTTTGAGACTAGCCTGACTAACATGGGGAAACCCCGTATCTACTAAAAATACAAAATTAGCCGGGTGTGGTGTCGCATGCCTGTAATCCCAGCTACTCAGGAGGCTGAGGCAGGAGAATCGCTTGAACCCAGGAGGCAGAGAATGCAGTAAGCCAAGATCACGCCACTGTACTCCAGCCTGGGCGACAAGAGAAAGACTTCGTCTCAAAAAGGGAAAAAAAAAAAAAAAGAAAAAGAAAAAAAGGAAGACTGATAATGATAATGTTGTTGTCCACTTGCTATGTGCCAGAGTGTTTATGTGAATGTATTCGTTTGCTAGAGATGCCATAACAAAGTACTATAAACTAGGTGGCCAAACAGCACAAATTCATTGTCTCACAGTTCTAGAGACTAGAAGTCTAAGATCAATGTGTTGGCAGGGTGAGTTCTTTTGAGAGCTGATGGGAGCAACTTTACCATTTTTCTGTCCTGGCTTTCAGGGGCTTAATGGCAATCTGTAGCATCCCTTGGCTTATGAATACATTACCCTGATCTCTGTCTTCATGTTCATATGTTCGTCCTGTATACTTG
This sequence comes from Homo sapiens, assembly GCF_000001405.40. Lineage (NCBI taxonomy): Eukaryota > Metazoa > Chordata > Mammalia > Primates > Hominidae > Homo > Homo sapiens. Next base: position 106,478,715 of record NC_000010.11, read on the forward strand.
CCTCTGTGTCCAGATTTTTCTTTTTATAAGAACACCAGTTATATTGGATTAGAGTCTGCCTTAATAACTCGCTTTAATTTTATTATTTCTGTAGAGACTCTGTTTCCAAATACAGTCACATTCTGAGGTGTCAGTCTGATAGGGCTTCAATATCTCTTTTTTCTGGCACACAATTCAATCCATAACAGTGTATTACCTCATTTAATTTTCATCACTGCTGTTCACTATCATGAACTATCTCCCAGACTTAAAAAAAAAAAAAAAAAGAATATTGAGGCTAAGAGAGTTATATAATTTACCAAAGGTCACAGAAATAGAACATGGCAGGGCTCAGATTTGAATCCACAGCCTGAGTCCCTACCCACCATGTTCTATTGTCTCTATGTATCATAGTTTTCTCTAAAGCAGAGGTCCCCAAACCCCAGGCCACAGACTAGTACCCATCCATGGCTTGTTAGGAACTGGGCTGCACAGCAGGAGGTGAGTGGCAGGCAAGTGAGTGAAGCATCATCTGTATTTAGAGTTGCTCCCCATCCCTTGCTCGCCTTACTACCTGAGTGCTGCCTCCCATCAGATCAGCAATCAGCAGCGGCATTAGAGTCTCATAGGAGCGAGAACCCTATTGTGAACTGTGCATGAGAGGGATCTAGGTTGTACATTCCTTTTGAGATTCTAATGCCTGATGATCTATCACTGTTTCCCATTACCCCCAGATGGGACCATCTAGTTGCAGGAAAACATGCTCAGGGCTCCCACTGATTCTAGATCATGGTGAGTTGTATTATTATGTCATTATATATTACAATGTAGTAATAATAGAAATACAGTTCACAATAATTGAAATGTGCTTGAATCATCCCAAAATCCCCAACCTGGTCCATGGAAAAATTATCTTCCATGAAACTGGTCCCTGATGCCATAAAGGTTGGGGACCACTGCTTTAAAGCATGGCTTTGGCAGTGCTAATGAATAGTTTCTATTACAGCATCACCAGTACGAGCAATGATGTCTCTACACCAACTGCCTAAATCTCCAGCTAACATAAACACCACGCATTAATCTTATCTATTTATTTCAGAGATAAGATTGTGAGTGATTGCTGCAAAAGGGCATTTGCTCTTATCTACCATGACAGGAGGAAGAATTATGCCTTTGTCTCTAAATGCAAACTGACTTGATGAGCAAACTATTTCACCACGCAATACTGTTTTGTGGCAATTGTGTGTCATCTTTGATATGGGTGTGTCTAACGAAAAGCTTCTTGCCAACCTTCCCTTTATTTTTAGGACAAAGTCTCAGGTCCTAAATGTGACTTCCAAAAATTGGCTTCATTTTCCAGACTCATCTCCAGCACCTAATAATATGTGTGATCTCCATAAATATCATGTTTTCCTTTTAACATGGCATTGCCAGAAATGTTCTCCCACCCTATAATGTCTTCCCTATCCTTTGAATAACCCAAATCCTAGCTAAAGCCCAATCACCATTTCAGATGGGTCTCTGGTGTTACCTCTTCCAGAATGAATTTCCTGACCATCCCCACACTCCTAAAGCTAGGGTGAGTGCCCTTCCTCAGAACCTACTCTGAGCATCTCTCACAGTTTATTGACCAGATTCAGGTCCGTCAGCTTTTCTGCATCTTTTACTTGGTTAAAAGGATCTTGAGGGCAGGGTCCATGTTTGGATCTGAGGACCAGGTGTTCTGTATGTAGTAGGAGATCAGTGCTAAATAAATATTATAAAAACTAGACTGAACTTGAGTTCCTATTGATACTAGCATCTCCGAAAATCTAAAAATGATTTTACCTTCAAGACAGTCAAAAATACTTGTTGTCTAATCAAGGGAAACAGAAGGTGACTTGACTCCAGTTATAGATTTAGCAAAGGCAAATTTGACAACAGGAAGAAATGGGGGAATATTTTATGGCAGCTAATCTTAAACTTTATTGCGCATAAAATTCAGATTCCTCATTTACTGTAGTAGCTCTGAGGTGGAAAAAGAATTTTCCCATCTTAATAGGCATCAGGAATGACTCCTAGGAACACTAAAATCTGAGAATAAGTGCTGTAGGTCTTACAATAAAATCAATAACGTGAAAATGTAACAAAATTAATGCCCAGCTTTTTTTTCACCGCTTTTCAAGACATAGTGTTATCATTTATTTATTTATTTATTTATTTATTTATTTATTTATTTCGAGATCGAGTTTCACTTCTGTTGCCCAGGCTGGAGTGCAATGGTGCAACCTCGGCTCACTGCAACCTCCATCTCCCAGGTTCAAATGATTCTCCTGCCTCAGCCCCCCAAGTAGCTGGGATTGCAGGCATGCGCCACCATGCCAGGCTAATTTTATATTTTTAGTAGAGATGAGGTTTCACCATGTCGGTCAGGCTGGTCTTGAACTCCTGACCTCAGGTGATCCACCCACCTTGGCCTTCCAAAGTGCTGGGATTACAGACGTGAGCCACTGCGCCCGGCTATAGTGTTATAATTTAAAACAAGGGCAAATTCATAAGTCATTCCATCTCCCCAGCTGTCTCTCTGTCACAGGTCTTTACTTTTCTTTGATTAGAGCCCAGTTAAGTCATTTCTTCCACTTCTTATTCAGTACAAAGACTTCCCTAAAAATTTGAGTTTCATTATCTAATTACACGTCATGGGGCTGTGACTGAGAAACTCATCTCAGGTCACCTTATTAAGGCTTTTGAAAATAAAGAAGAGCTATAGCTGAAGTCATGAAGTTTGTGACAAAGCAGGTAATTCATGACAGCAACACTCCCCATCTCTAAATACCCCTGTTTCTAAGTTTGCACTTAAAAAAGGAAATTTTAGATTTTCCTTTTTAAAATGTAAACTTATTCTCAGCCTTGACTGAAAAGTACCATAAGCAAAGATATAAGAGCATTTGTTTAGATAGCACCATGACAAAAAAAGAAATCTGACCTTGTGATGGCCAAACTAAGTTTCCATATCTTAAATGCCCTACAAATTCTCTATCTTTCCAGAGCATTAAAATAATCAAATTTATGCCCCGGAGGAGGGAGATGGCCATAAAGTCAAAGTGCTGTGTGAAATCTCAGGCCTCAGGGGACTGCCTGTCTTTTGTGGTGTACTAGTTTTATCATGTTAACAAATCACCTAGTACTTACTCCAGGTCAGTGATATTATCTGAGAGGAATTTCACATCCATAGAATTTCAGAGAATTAGGAGCTCTAACAGTCTTCCTGGCTATACGTCTAAAGTAAAATGAGTGAGTTTTCAGGAACTGAAAACATCTTTGGCAATGAATATAACCCGGATGAAAGATTAAAGTCTACCAAAAAAACATGTTGGCCCCATACCCACAGACTTCATAACTACTCCAAGAACTTCTGTCAAAACTCTGGTGCAGCAAGCTGGCTCTCCTCACCCTCTCAAAGCTGTGTATTTATCCCTTGATACAGAATGCTGGGGAGCTCTCCACGGTAGATTTATGGACTTCTACCCACTTAAGACTGAATGAAATATCATCAAGATTATTAAGAATTATGGCTTGATGGTTGCAGTAGTTCTAAAGAAGTGAATGTAACCTATACAAAGCAAAAATCAAAAGGATGAACATCTGAGTTAGCTGAGAGCAACAAAGAGACTTCTTAGTAATAAACTAAATGAACAGATCCATTTGTTGATATTGAGCATTTCCTATGTGCCAGGACCTTCCTTTATATGCATTAACTCTCTTAACCCTTGGAGGGGCCCTAGGAGTGGACATTTTCACCAGCCTCCTTTTGCTTCAAGGCTCAACCTGCCGAGCATCACACTAGCAGCAGAACTGTGCATCCTGCCTCTGGTGGGTGCCTCCTTCGCCCCATCTCCTCCACAGTAAAAGAACAGTGAAAAGTGGGTCTTGATTATCACGAGATCACTGATGGAAGTTACAAACTGTCCATTCTATTTACAAAAGACCCTGAATGAGCTTGAGTTAGGAATGGAGGTGGAGAAAAAGAACAACTGCCGTCAAAGTCAATGTAAGCTATTTTGAGCTTTAAAATCATTTGCACTCTTAAAGCTTTTCCTCGCTTCCTATATTCAGAGCAGTATCTTTAGTTGTGAGTTTTGACAGAAGCCCAGTGAGCCAAAATCCTGTTACAGCAATTGCTCTGGAGCCATTTCTACACTGACTGGAACCATGGGGCACTGAACATAACCTATTCATAAGCAGTGAAAATTGAGCTGTTTATTGTTTAAAATCAACAGTGATAGCTTATCAAAATTTGCCATTGTGACACATGAATGGTGTATTTCTAGGGTCCTTACATTTGTTTCCTTGAATTAAAATTCACTAGAGCCTATTCCAAATGCTAATAGTGGGTAGTGAATTGTTTTTTAAGTACAATTATTTAAAAAAGAGTAAATGTTCATTATTCTCATCACGTGAGACAAAGAATGCTAATACCCTCTACATTTCAGACTTTTAATGATGGATGCGTTCATCAAATTGTGACTGTTTCCTTTAAAAATCTGGTATGGGAACTACTCCTAAAGAATTGAAAGGTTTCTCTGTCCATTCTAGTACTGGATAAATGAAACCCAAAGCTTGCTGATATAGATCAGTTTTTCAAATTACAATCAGCAGCAGATAGCTTAAGTCCATCTTAAATATTTATTTTATTTTATAATAATTTAAATGGATTTAATTGACTTTTATTTGTTCATTATAGTTTTTGTGAATATTTTGCTCGCTAACATTAAGGAACTACTAAATTTATGTTTAGCCTTCCACTTCCACCAAACATACGTTCCTTCACAGAATTAAAAACCGCATTGTTGTAGTTTGTTTCAGAAGGTATTTTGGGAGATTTCAGATTTAAAGACATATGGCTGATCCTCTACAATATATTTGGGTAGAGTAAATTGGAATTTTAAAACTTAAAGAAACATGAAAATTCATCTAATTCAGAGGTAATCAGAGTATGTTTAGCGGAATTCTGGTTATTTTGTGGAGTGGCCTCAAGTACAAAGCTAACTTACTGAGGAGTGAAGAATCAAATGATGGAAAGAACCCGAATATTTAATGTCATGGAATTTGCCCTAGGATCACCCCATGTCTTTATTTATTTATTTATTCATTTATTTATTTATTTTGAGACAGAGTCTCACTGTCGCCCAGGCTGGAGTGCAGTGGTTTGATCTCGGTTCACTGCAACCTCCGCCACCCGGGTTCAAGGGATTCTTCTGCCTCAGTCTCCTGAGTAGCTGGGACTACAGGCGCGTGTCACCACGCCCGGCTAATTGTGTGTGTGTGTGTCTGTGTGTGTGTTTAGTAGAGACGGAGTTTCACCATGTTAGCCAGGATGGTCTCGATCTCCTGACCTTGTTATCTGCCCACCTCGGCCTCCCAAAGTGTTAGAATTACAGGCGTGAGCCACGGCACCCAGCCTCTATATTTATTTCTTCACCATTTTGAGTTTCTTCAGTGGCCTCCTCAAAAGCATTCTAATTGAGATGCCTTCTAAACCTGAACTGTGCAATATGATAGCTACATTCCCCAGATGTAAGATGCATTGACCAAAGCTGAAGACATACTTTAACCTAAACCAAAACAGCTCCACTTTTCCATGAAGTGCAGCAGCAAGCCCCAACACACACACACACACACACACACACACACACACACACACACACCACAAATTTGACTCTTTCCTCCTCTGCCTTGCTGAGGGGTCAAATAAAATTTTAAAGGGAAAGACACCAATTATCATTTGAGTTCTGAACCTCAATATAAGGACTGTCAAATTAAAACACAGAAAACTGGAAGCAGTGTAAGGTTTTCCCCAATATATTCCTCAGGATGATACAAGGATTGGCTATTAGTTCTCTTAACTTGCAATCTAACGTCAATATCATACAATGTTTTGTTTGTCTTGGTCCTAGATCTGTAGAGAGAGAGAGAGAGAGAGAGAGAGAGAGAGAGAGAGCATGTGTGTGTGTGTGTGTGTGTGTGTGTGTGTGTGTGTGTGGTTTCTCTGGGCTTTTTTTTTTGAAGTTTTCAACATAAATCTGGTAAAAGCAGGTGCTTTCCATATACATTCTCATTCTCTACTAACATTGTGTCTAAGAATGCATACCCCTTTGACCCCTCAGTGAAGTCTTGGAATTTTATTATGAATCCAATTTCTTCGTAATTATATTTTAACCAGTAATTATATCAAAGTGTCATTTAGCTTGCATCAACATGGCACATCTTTTTGAGACAAGTTCTAATTTGCACTACTTGTTCTAGTGAAATCTGCCTTGAGAAAGATTAATAATGTGTGTATGTCTGTGCTAAACTACATCTTGCCATAAGTAAGCATGTAGAAACTTATGCTAAGATCACTGGTTTCTGATCAAAAAATAGTTCAATGAATTGGTTGAAACCACAGAAATCTAGGAAGTTTTATTTATTGCTTTGAGTCTTGCATACTCATTCTTGCAAACTCATTCTATTTTGGCCCCATTTGCTTATGGGAGACCCTTATGCCCAGAAGCTTCTGCTTTGAGACAGGGCCCACGTTCAAAATCCTGCTCAATTCAATGCCTGCAATGTGCTTTAAATAATACTGGTTAGTGATCCGACTGCACTTTAGCTTTCAAAAAGTTTTTCTATGCACTTTCACATTTACAAGTTGTATCTGAGAAGTTATACATGTCAAGAAGAAGTGACAGAATTTTTTTTCGCTGCTTTTACTCCTCTACCTATGTGGAATATTCTCTGAATCAGTGTTAAAATGATCCAATGCCCTTCCCTTCAGATTTTTCTTCCTATTCCATCCTACTGACTTTTTAAAGCACATTCTATTGTCTTCTTGAAGAGACTGGAAAAGCAAATGATCAGTTAGTACACTTAGGCTAAGTAGTAGACAATCCAATTCAAAGTATCCTTAATATTAAGGACAATAACACCCAAGAAATTCCAAGGTAAGGTAGCTCCAAAGTGATCAGCTTTTATCAGCTCAACAACATCATGAACCCATTGTATATTAGTAAGGGCTCTCCAGAGAAACAGAACCAACAGGATATATAAAAGGATAAATAGAAAGAGATTTATTGTAAAGGATGAGCTCACATGATTATGGAACTTGTGAGGTCTCATGATCTGCCATCTGTAAGCTGGAGGCCCAGGAAAGCCCATGGTACATTTCCAGTCCAAACTCAAAGGCCCGCGAGTCAGGGATATCAAGTCCAAAGGCCTGAAAGGAGCTCCAATGTTGAAATGCAAGAGCAGATGGATTTTTTTTTTTTTTTTTTTGAGACGGAGTCTTGCTCTGTCGCCCAGGCTGGAGTGCATGGCATGATCTTGGGTCACGGCAACCTCCACCTCCTGGGTTCAAGTGATTCTCCTGCCTCAGCCTCCTGAGTAGCTGGGATGACAGGTCTGTGCCACCATGCCCAGCTAATTTTTGTATTTTTAGTAGAGACAGAGTTTTACTATGTTGGCGAGGCTGATCTCGAACCCCTGACTTCAGGCGATCCACTGGCCTCCACCTCCCAAAGTGCTAGGATTACAGGCATGAGCCACTGCGCCTGGCCGAGAAGATGGATTTTTTTAGCTCAAGCAGAAAGAAAGCTAATTTGCCCCTTTTCTGTGTTTTTCTTCTATTCAAGCCCTCAAGATTGGATGATGATTGGTGAGGGAGATCTTTACGAGGTCTACTGATTCAAATGCTAATCTCCTCTGGAAAAGCCCTCACTCAAACACCAGAAATAACATATAGCAGCTATCCAGGCATCCGGCATCCCTTAGCCCAGTCAACTGATGCAAAATTAACCATCACATGTCTGTGATATCAGTCCTTCCTCTTAGCCTTTTTCAGCTTGTTGGCTTACCCTTGTGGTCACAAAAAAGGCTTCCGCAATTCTAGATATAACTTTCAGATGTAAAAATTTCCAAAAGAGGAAGGACAATTTCTTAGTATATTTAGGGAACGCTTTCCTAGAAGTCTCCCTGAGAGATTTTCCCTTGCCTGCACTTGGCCAGAATTATATTGTAAACCAATTCCCAAACCATTCACAGAAAGAAGGAGATGAGATTCCTGGGACTGGCTTAGTGAAAAATATGTCCATGCTTAAGAGAGTAGATTGCCCAAACAAAAGTAGTTCTTTTAGACTCTATTCGTAGGCAACTTGCTGTGTCTATATGTGTATTGTATTATGGGAGAGTGAAGCTGGACACTGTGCTTTCACTAAATAGCACAGGATTCAAGTTTCATTGCAAACTTCACTAAAAACAACAAAAAATGAAAAAGCCTCCAAACAAACAACAACAAAACAAAACAAAACAAACAAACAAAAACCCAGCAACAATGAATGAATCTACCAATTTTTAAAATCTCACAGAAGAAACAGTTCTGTTTTAACTACTGGAAGATCTGGACAGTCTAAGTAAAATAGGATAAGGTAATTCATTTTAGATCTTACAGGGTTGTGGTCAATATTTTCTTAATGCTGCTGTGAGTGAATTCTGGATAAAGATGCCAAGAGCCCAGAATTTCTCGAAGGAAGAGTCAACAGACAATATATTCTCCCATGACCCAATGACTATTGCTTGTCTCCTTTAGAGCAAGCACAGTCTCTAAGGTGCTGACCATCAGGAAGTCAAGATTCCTGAAAAAAATGCAATTATGACATCTGTAAACCTAAGTAGTGTCAGGTTGAGAAATGGACCTCACCCCTTATCTTATACCTTTCTAACATTTGATGTGCTCTGCTCCTAAATTTTCAATATAATTTTTGATCCAATATTAGGTTGGTGCAAAATTAATTGCAGGCTTGCCCACAATTAATTTTGCACCAACCTAATACGAAAGTACAAGGGGAAAAATGTGGTTTTCATATATATTATAGAACCATTTAAAGAATATTTGCAGCCAGGTGCAGTGGCTCATGCCTGTAATCTCAGCACTTTGGGAGGCCAAGGTGGTGGGATAGCTTGAGCTCAGGAGTTCAACACCAGCCTGGGCAACATAGTAACATTTTGTCTCCAGTTATACAAAAAATAATTAAAAAAACAAAGAACATTTGGGGTGTCAGAGTTTATTAGTTCTTCAGCATTGCAAGATTTTTATGAATATAGAAAATTGAAACAAAGCACAAATATGACTATCAACTCATGGAGATACTTTCTACCTAATCCTCCTCTTAGTTTTATCAGGTTATGCCTAGGGCTACCATTAGCCCAGTGATTATGGGAAAATAAATGAGTGCAAAGATAATGTAATGTACTTTTCTTCTTTCCTAATATGATTTTTCTTGTTTAGAAGAAAGGGAAATGTAATAAGCTATAAGCAATCTGTTACATAAAAGAAGCACTTCACAGCCTTTCAGTTTGTCTTCTGACTTATCAGAAACAGAATTTATTTAAAAAATTTGTGAGTTAACCGAGCAATTGTGGGAGGTCCAAATTCTTTAGAGGTTGGAGTACAAGAATTATGATACTTTTTATAATCTAGGTGGTCTTCATGGGCCAGGAGCAAGAACTGGCTACAGTTGAACAACCCCTCTAGAGTTCATGCTGCGGTTCATTTACTTACGAGTCCAAAGTCCTGTCTGAGGAGCATAGTGTGACTTAGACAAAATCCATCCTCAATTTGTTATTTATCATTCTCAAGGCAAACCTCAGACAAGCTCATAAGGACATTTTTTTTTTTTTAGTTTCAAATCTCATTTGTAATCTAAATGCTATTGGTTTTCCTACTCTTTGCTAAACCAGATCTTGTTTGCTTTCCTAAGTGATTTTTAGGGGAGGGGGCAATTCTGAGGCACTTGGTCCTAAATCTCCCTAAAACTGAAAGTTTCAACTAAATCTCTACAGTATCCAGTCTCATAACTGTTACAAGCTTATTACTTAGATACAATTAGAGTCCCTTTTATTTTGGAAACAGAGACCATCAGAATCCATTACCCTAAGTCAGATAAATGTTGCCCAACATTTATCCAATGAGATATTATCTAATGCTGTTGATATACGGGTGACTTCACTCAATTTAAGGTTGTGGAGGTCTAATATTAGTGTCCAGACAAGAGGTCCCAAGCCACAATGTAACCATTTACTTATTCATTACTACTTACTTATTACTTTTACCCACAGCAGCTTGGGGAACTTGGGCAAATTGCTTAATGCTTGGGGGCTTTTTCTTCATCTATAAAATAAGGGAATTGCACTAAGTAATCCCAAAGTTCTCTTCTGCCTCTAAAATTAGATGATCATATGATTAAATGACCAACAATAATTGTGTCTACTAATCAAATGAGTCAAAAATTTGTTTTAAAGATGATAATGGAAATTATTTAGAATAGTGGGAATAAAAGAAATATCAAAATATATCCTCAGGAAGGTCTCTGCATTTGACATCCTCTGAGCCCTCAGAAACTGTAATCACTTAAACACATATACTGTAGGCAGAAAGAACAATAAATTTTGCAGGCTGCTTTACAGCTTAACTAAGTGCTTCTATGTCTATTACATTGATGGACTTTTACAACAAACCTCTAGATGGTTATTATTATTCCCACTTTACAGATGAGTAAACTTGGCTCAGCTGAAATAAATCCTTGACTTGGGGATTGAAGCTAGTCACTTGAAACCAGGTTTGAGATTTTGCTATTTCAACACATTCATAAAATCAGCGTTTTTCCTTAACCTTATTGTGGTGTTAGAGACTACATATGGTCCTTTCCCTGGGCTGACTTCTAATGTTCCTCTAAACCCCTTTTGTTTGTTAAGTCATTACACAATTTGAAGGATTTGACATTTTACAATGTCGTCTACCCATCAAATAATGCAACCTTGTCTCCATTTTTCAATTTTTTTGTCTCTCAATAGAGTTTTAATTTTTCTCCATGTAGGTAGAGTTTCAATTTTTCTCCACAATATATTAATTTATATTTAAACTTTTTAAAAAGCATTATGAGTTTTTCTCTTATAGTTTCTAATTTATTACAAATAATTGAAAACCCCATGTGTTTCATTTATTCATATATAGTTCATTATTTTAATTAAACATATTTTTGTTTTATGTTTTATTTAATTTACTTCATTATGGTTAACTTTTTAAAATTTTGTTTGCCCTTAATTTATTCTACTCTTTAATTGAAAAACAGAATAAAACAAATTTCTTGTCTTGCTGTAAATAATTGTATGCTCTTATATGCTGCAATCAAACAACAAAATAAAAGAATAAAAGCATATTTAAATCCCACCATTCAGAAAGAGATAAGTTTGAAAAGCATTGAGGTACATTATAATATAAATTTGTTCACTTTCAAAAAAAATTTTTTAGAGACAGGGTGGTCTTGCTCTGTTGCCCAGGCTGTAATACAGTGGTATGATCATGGCTTATTGCGGCTTCAAACTCCTGGGCTCAAAGAAACTACCACCCCTGCCACCTCAGCTTCCCAAGCAGCTGGGACCACATGCGTGTGCCATTACACTCTAATAGTTTGTTTTTTTTTTTTTTTTTTCGTAGCAATGGAGGTCACACTATGTTGCCTAGGCTGGTTCCAAACTGCTGGCCTCAAGCAATCCTCCCACAGTGACCTCCCAAATATGCTGGGATTACAGGTGTGAGCTACCATGCCTGGTCTTTGTCCTCTTCAAAAAATCTGTGTTCTACTGTTTGAATGTCTCCCCAAAACATTCAGGTGTTGAAAACAACCCCCAGTGCAAGTGTTAAGAGGTAAGGCCTCTCAACGCAATGAGGCAATTAGGACATGAGGGTTCTGTTCTCATGAACGGTTAATGTCTACCTTTATCTTGGGAGTTGGTTAGTTATCACAAGAATGGGCCTATTATAAAAATGAATTCAGCCCCATCTTGCTCCTTTGTGGTCTAGTGCTCCTTGCCCTATTCCCTCCCACTACAGGATGAGATAAAAGGCCTTTAGCAGGTGTGGACCACTTAACATTGAACTTCCCAGCCTTTAGAACTGTAAGAAATAATTTTTTTTCTTTACAAATTACCTGATCTGTGGTATGCTGTATAGCAACACACAATGGACTAAGATAGGGTGCTTATGAGGTGTTTATATTTTCTTTTTTTTCCTTTAATTTCTTCTTGCAACATTGGAATAGTATAGCATATACAACTATATCTTCCTATGTTTATCATTGTTCCATGCCACTCAAATGTAATTTTAATGGCTGCATATTTTAGCATATGGATTTACTAAAACACAATAGCCATAGTGAGTTGAATGGTGACCACTACAAAAGATATTTCTAGCTGAATCCCTGAAACCGGTGGACATTGCCTTATTTGGAAAAAGGGCCTTTAGAGATGTAGTTAAGTTCAGGATCTTGAGAGAAGAAGATTATTGTGGGTCCTAAATCCAATAGGTGTCCTTATAAAAGGCACACAGAGGAGACAAACAGAGATGAGGAAAAGGCGATGATACCACAGAGCCAGAGACTGGAATGATGTGGCCACAAGTCAAGGAATGCTGACAACCACCAGGAGATGGAAAAGGCAAAGAATGTGTTCTTCCCTAGTGCCTCCAGAGAAATGTGGCCCTGATAACACTTTGGTTTAAGATGCCTGGCCTCTAGACTGTGAAGGAATACATTTCTATGGTTATAAGCCACTAAGTTTGTGGCAGTTTATTACAGCAGCCATAGGAGACTAATACAATAGGGAATCTAATATTGTTAAACATTTACATTGGTTTCAATTTTAAACATTATCAGTAACACTACAATGTATTTGTGTTTATCTCTGATTTTACACTAGATATTTAATTACTGGCTGAAAAAAGTGTGAACAGTTTAAGACGATTTTCAGGGAAGTGGTAATAATTGCACTTCCAAAAGCTACATATGATGAACCCTTCCACTGTCATCTTGCCCACAACATGTATAACAATATCATTTTATATACTTGATAGGAGACAACACCTTGATATTTGAATTTGGAATATATAGATTAGTGTCATATTTGGATGTAGTTTCATAAGCTTATCAAACAATTATGTTTCTTTTTTGAAATTTTCTTTAATTTGCAATGTTTGTTTTGGGTTGCTTATGCAAGAGCACTTTATGTATCAGTGTACCTTGCCTTTTAAAATTTTACAAATTTACTTTTCTGGTATTTCATTTGTCTTTCCATTTTATAACATTTTGTAATGCATAAGTTTTATTTTCCTTCTTAATGTTGTCCAATATTATATTTCCCCCATTGTATATATAAAATTATATTTCCCCATTTTACATATATAATTATATTTCCCTCATTTATACTATTTAAGTATATATATTAACATATATAATACTTAATGAAATATATGAATAATGATGAATATAAATATATGAATATGAATAATAATGAAATATATATTATATATAGTTCACATATTATATATTAAGTATATATAATATATATTTATATATTAAGTATATATAATATATATTTATATAAGTATATATAATATATATTTATATATTAAGTATACATAATATATATTTATTTATATATAATATATATTTAATATATAATGGGGAATATAATTATATAATATAATTTATATAAATTATATTAAAGCATAATAAGCTTTAGTTTTGGCTGAAAAAGAGGGGAGGAAGTTTACAGGTACTAGGAAGGGGTATGGCAAAGCAAATAAGACAGCATGTTGTTGACCTTATTCCCAGCCCAATCATGAGCCCTGTGGAAGGAAGAGTTGCAACTAACAGCTAGAAGTTCTGTTTACATGTAGGTCTTATACACATATACTTTCCTACATGCTCCCTACATTTTATTCAAATAGGACTAATTTCTTTATGCACCACCTGCAATAGGCAGAATTCTAAAGAAGGCTTCCCACCCCCACCCAGATTCCTGCCCCCTAGGTATTCAAACACTAATCTAGGTACTTCTGTGAAAAAACTGCAGATGAAATGACAATTACTAGTCATCTGATTTAAAAATAGGGAGATTACCCTGTTTTATCCAGATGGACATAATGTAATCACAGGCGCCCTTAAAATCGGAATGGGAGGTAAAAGAGGAAGGAGAGATTCAGCGCATGAAGCAGACTGAACTCACCAACCCACCACTGCCGGAGGGAGGCCATATGAAAAGTATGACAGTGTTATCGGAAAGGGGTCCCAATCCAGACCCCAAGAGATGGTTCTTGGATCTCATGTAAGAAAGAATTCAAGGCGAATCCATAAAGTGAAAGCAAGTTTATCAAGAAAGTAAAGGAATAAAAGAATGGCTACTCCATAGGCAGAGCAGCAGCATGGGCCACTGGTTGCCCATTTTTATGGTTATTTCTTGATTATATGCTACATAAGGGGTGGGTTATTCATGAGTTTTCTGGGAAAGGGATGGACAGTTTCCAGAACTGGGGATTCCTTCTCTTTTTAGACCATATAGGGTAACTTCCTGATGTTGCCATGGCATTTGTAAACTGTCATGGTGCTGATGGGAGTGTCACTTAGCATGCTAATGCATTATAATTAGTGTATAATGAGCAGTGAGGAGAACTAGAGATCACTCTTATCGCCATCTTGGTTTTGGTGGGTTCTGGCCAGCTTCTTTATGACACAGCCTGTTTTATCAGCAAGGTCTTTATGACCTGTATCTTGTGTTGATCTCCCCTCTCATCCTGTGACAAGGAATGCCTTAACCTCCTGAGAATGCAGCCCAGTAGGTCTCAGGCTTATTTTACCCAGCCCCTATTCAAGATGCAGTTGCCCTGGTTCAAACAACTCTGACAAGAGGAATGCGGGCAGCCACCAAGTGTAAAAACTAGGCCCCACCAGAGTCACTGTATTAGTCTGTTTTCATGCTGCTAATAAAGACATGCCCAAGACTGGGCAATTTACAGAAGAAAGAGGTTTAATTGAACGTACAGTCTTGTGGCTGGGGAAGCCTCACAATCATGCCAAAAGGCAAGGAGCAGCAAGTCACATCTTACACAGATGGTGACAGGCAAAGAATGAGAGAGCTCGTGCAGGGGAACACCTCTGTTAAAAAACATCAGGTCTCATGAGATTTACTTACTATCAAGAGAACAGCACGGGAAAGACTTGTCCCCATGATTCAGTTACCTCCCACCCGGTCCCTCCCATAACAGGTAGGAATTCAAGATGAGATTTGGATGGGGACACAGCCAAACCATATCAGTCAGCAAGGAAAGAGCAGCCTCAGTCTTACAACTGCAAGAAACTGAATCTGGGCAAAAACCTGAATGAGGCCTGAAGTGGATACATGCCCAGATCCCTCAGAAAAGAACACACCCCTGCTGACACCTTGCCATTGGCTTTGTAAGACTGTAAGCAGAGTGCCCAGACTCTAAGTTAAGTGATGCAGCATCCAGATTTCTAACCTAACAATTGTGAGGTGATAAACAGGTATTGTTTTAAGCCACTAAATTTGTGGTAAGTTGTTATGGCAACAATAGGCATTGAATAGATCACTCTCATTTATACACCGCTTTATTATTCTCGGTGTATTTTGCTTTGTAAAGCTGGGATACCTCTGCACCTTTCCCTTGCCCCTCCACAGTCTGAGATGGAATAAGAGTGGGACACAACTCCTCCTTTTTCTTTTTTCTTCTCCTCATGATCACAAAACCCACACCACTACCTTACTGATGCTACAGCTGCTCACACTGAGGCTTTAGTCGTACATACAAAGAAAATAGCCATTCTTCACCGCTCTCGTAGTGTTTTACTTAAACATTACTTAAACATTTCCAGAAAGTGGCCTCAGGAGATTCAAATATGGAACCAAGTTGCAGATTGTTCCACATCCAAAAGATGTGCTAAACAATTCATTGGCAGCCTTATTGCCTCCAGCCAGACCACCAGGTTGCCCATTACCCAATATGACCGTGGCAACCAGATATGCAAACCTGCATGCCCTACCCCTGATGTCAATTCCTGCGCTTTGCCTCATAAAAAAAGCCCTACATGCTCTTTCTGGGGAGCCAGCCAGAGAATCCTTCCATCTCTGCCATCTCCCTCGCACTCGAGCACAAGCCCCAAAATAAAGACTTGTCTGGGAAATCTTCTTGGCCTCTTGTTAATTTCAGTTACATGGGAAGCCTAAGAGCCTGTGGTCTCTGAAAAATCTACTCAAATCTCACCTTCCCTTCAAGGCAACACCATTCCTACCACTCTCATAAAGTCTTTATAAACCTGAGACCTCTCACCTCCTCCATGTCCCCTGCTCCCTAGAATACTTTATACTTCTCTCAAAACAATTATTCTATTTAATGAGTAATATAGTTATTTAAGCACAAACTATTATGTTCCCTCTAAATTAAAACTTATAGAAGGCAGCCTTAATTTCTATATTAGCCAGTTTTTTCTGTGTCACAAAAAATTCCAATATCTTAGTGGCTTATAACATTCAAAGCATTTATTCTGCTCTTGCTTCGCAGGTTAGGCACAAATTAACTGATCTAGTTTGAGCTCTGCTGGGCAGATGTGCTGCAGCATGCCCATCCAGCTGTGTTTGGATGCAATCTATGGGTTGGGCTTAGATGTGCTGCATGTATCTTCCTCCTTGGGCAGAAAGGGAAGTACTTAGGCAACCTGCTTTACATGGCAGATCAAGAAATACAAGAGGGTACTAACCACTGAAGCACATTTTAAGCTTTTGCTTCTATCACATTCATTAACAACTTATTCACCAAACGAAGCGTCATGGCCCAGACCACAGTGAAGGAAGGATACATTCACCCACCATGGATCATGGCAATAGGGTAGATTTATAACTCCGCTTTAAGAAAGGGAGAAATTGGAACCTATAATTCAGTTCACCTAGGTATTCTTCATGATGATATTCTTAGCCTCCCCTTATCTGATATAAACAAAATGTTTAGCACATTGTCTTCTGTGTGTTTGGTGGTTGGCATGAAATTGATTTACTATCCCTCCTTGGCCATACTACAAGAGAGTTGTTCCCTTCCTGGTCATTCAAACACATATTCCCTTTTATCATTCTTATAAATGCACTTGCCTCTGTTCAATTTAGCAGTTGGTTCATTTATCATTTTTAAACATTATTTTCAGCATGTACTTTTTAGCTCCCTGGATAAGTCATGAATTCCTAAAGGAGAAACTGCTTCATTTACTTACTCTAAGGCTCCCACACAGTGTTTAGCTGAGGGCTGAATAAAGTAAATGCCCAATAAATACCAGATGACTGTTATTTCCCATTAAAAATGGTAAGACTTCTTCTTTGGGAATTTTCAGAATGTGTTGCCTGTCTTTCTATACGGAAAACATCAATGGTGCTCAGCTCATTACAAACCTGAGTGCCAGCCTTAGCTACATTTTATTTAAAGAGGAATAATTGGTACATAAATTCTCTCACAGAGCATTGAGAAGCTGATATATGACATTTTCTGTCAATCTGGGCTTTTTCTATCAGGGTAACTGACACTGTTCTTGAAATTCCTGTGGATAAAGTGCACATCTGTGCTGTTGGGGGAATTAACAGAATTCCTCTTTGCTTGTAACAAGTTATTGGTGATAATCTAAAGCTACTATTTGTGTGGTTGCCGGACACGTTGAGTTTTCAGAGGAATACACAGCATGAAGAAAGCCTGGAGGTAGAAAGAGTGCTACTGCTGTCCTGGATCACATTCTATAGGATAAAACTGCAGGCAGAGAAAGCTCTTCAATATACTCTTTTAGCTGTAAGGTAATAACACCTCCTTGACTTCATTATTATTCATAGATGTGCCTCTGACAGGTTAATAAACCATTCTAAAGGACTTTGGCATTGCAAGTCATGCTATTAAGAAGAACCATGACATTAGAAATTAGACTGAACAAGTTTCTTAAGAATTTCCAGGTGGTTTTATCCCACAGCAGTTACAGGAGACTCTGAGGCACGCTCTGGCTTCATCATAAGATCAGTTGACGGCAGAGCCATTGGTAAAAATAATCACTTTGGCGTGTATACAAAAAACAAATGACTGTCTGTCAACCAGAGGAGCAGAATCACATGGGCTTAATACTCTCAACGATACTTAAATGGCTTGTGCTCAAACTGACTTAAGTAGACCCTAACACTATAACATTATTATACAGTCCTGCAGCTACTACAGAAAGAGAGAGAGACAGAAAGAGACTTTTAATGAATGACTGCCTGCCTACCAAAGTAATGGCTTCAACAAGGCTGAAATTCCACAGCATCATTATTTTTGGAGATTCTAGAAATCATGCTAGAAGGTGTACAGAACCAAAACTGCCTTTGCAAAATTATGACAATAAAAGAAATCTGACATGCTCGACTCCATTTCGCTTCTAACCTCTGAGCTGTCCTTGGTCATTCCTGGGTGTAGAACAAGCTAACTTTGGGAGAAGAAATTTAGTTTATAGTTTAACCTTAACGCAATGATGATAATAGCCTTCCCTAAAACTAAACTTCCTTTATAAAACCCATGAAAGGCCACAGGTTAGGATTATGAGAGGGGCCTGAATTCTGCTAAGATGTAGGCATAAAGGATAGCCAGCCGTTGTTCTGCAGGTCACAAAATTTGTAACGTTCCCAATTATTACTGTAGATAACATCATTATTGTAAAACCTAAGATTGGCCTTTTGAGATTTTTTTTAGACTTTTGCATTTCTGAAGATCGGCTGACTCTCCTCTGGCTGCAACTCCTGACTCAACATGTCTTGTGGCCTCCATCCAGAGGCAGAAGCAGTGCACGAGGACCATTTTCCACACTCCCTATGATTTCATTCCCAACCAATCAACATTTCCCACTCCCTAGCCCCCGGACCATCAAACTATCCTTGAAAAACCCTAACCTCTCTGCCTTTCGGGGGACTGGTTTAAGTGGTAACTCCATCAACCATTATGGCCAGACTTGCATCAGTTAAACTCTTTACTACAAAGCCACAATCTCAGTGAATTGATTTTGTCTATGTAGTGGGCAGGAAGAACCCATCAGGTGATCACAGGACTTTATATCACAAATATTCCATTTAAGTCATGGCAATACACTGACTTTGGGCAAATCAGTTTATCTTTTGGGGCCTTCATTGTCTCACCTATAAAATGTAAAATAATTTTACCTGCCCTCTTTATTTCCTAAAGTTGTTGTGAGGGTTGCATGGTATCATATTTTGAAATGGTCCTATAATTTAGAAATAATCATATAGAAAGAGATCAATGGTGAATATGTTGCATTTTATAGGAGAGGCAACAGGGTTCGGAGAACCTAACTGACTTTCCCAAAGCAATGAGTTAATTATTATCTGTCAGTACTTATGCGATAATGAACATAACGATAGCAATAAACATAGCTAGTACTTACTGAAAATTTACTGTGTGATAACCACTCTTTCAAGCATTCTGTATGTTAATATACGTAGTCCTTTCTGAAACAAACTATGAAGTAGCTACTCTTATTATCCACATTTTTCCGGTGAGCAATATCAGAGAGAGATTTAAGTAACTTGTCTAAGGTTATGCAATTAGCAAATGGTAGAGCCAGTATTTCAACCCGGGAGTCTAGGTTCAGAATCTATATTTACAGAACAAATTACGGTCATATTTATGTTTTTTGCAGATGTGAAAGATCCGCTTTCAATCAATTCCCAACAGTTGATTGAGCCTCAGTGATGAACATTAGGATAATACTTGCCACTTTCTAAAGCCTCATTAGTAAATGTAATCATTTTCTAATCTTGGGGAAGTTGTTCTTTTTTGTCTAGGTCTTTGCATGGAGATTTGGTGACTGTGTTGGTGTTTTACTTTGTTTTATTCTATTTCCTTTATTGTTCGTCCACCAATTTGTTGTGTATTATATCTGAACCCCTTGATCTGTGAATCAGCCCGGCTAAACTCTTATGTCTTGTATCATAATACACTTTACAAATGAAATCTCACCCCATGGCTTACATTTCAGTCCTGACTTTAAGTTAACTACCAGGCTAAACTCAGTAACTGTTCTAGCAACTGCCCTCACTAAAAATACATATGGGATTTATAATCAAGTCTTGATAATCTGCCCTCGGTAAAAATCATTGTTAGTCTTTTAAAAATGAAGAACTCTGTCTCCCTTTCTGTCTCTTTTTCTCTTTCCCTCTCTTTCTCTCTCTCACACACACAAATATACATGCTCACGCAGAAAAAAATTTCTAAAGTGTCTTGCTGTTTGATTTAAAAAAAAAAAATGGACTTTGTGCTACAGACCAAAGTCTAGGTTAGTCATTAAACATTTAAGATATCATGTTCTTGGTATTGAATGAAAAGCTCCCAAAATTTAGTCCATGATAGTTCATTGCCAAAATAAAGAAGCGAAAATGTAAAGCCAGAGTGAAATCGTTCTGCACAGTTGCTTAAAAGCTGAAGATTGTCTGGGGATCATTATAGGATTTAGTGGCTGTTTTATGCACACACATATGGATTACACATGGATTACAAAAAGTCAACTGCATAGTAATTAATTCCTCTGATACTGTGTAGTTAGGGTTGATAGTTAGGTAGACATGAGCAGTGTGGGAGAGGATTCCCCCCGCTCCCGCCCATAAATGTCAGACAACCATCAGGTGATGGTCAGGCAGTTGTTAAAACGTTTCTCTAAAATAACTGGTTGCAGCCAATGCCAGGGAAAAGCAGTCTCCCAATAGATAGAAAACACCTGAAGCTGGTGATCAGCAGCTTCCCAATAAGATCTCAGGATTTGGGCAAGTGGGCTCAAGCATGCACACTAAGAGGCAAAATGGTGGAGTTTAACTGGTATATGCCCTTCCTCTAGGAACACTTGACTGGTAAAGGAAAAACACCTCAAATCAGTATGCACACAACTTCAGTAAACACACTGTGAATGGGACCCCTCCCAAGTGCAGACAACCTGCTCCAAGGAAAAATCTAGGAAGGAGAGATGCAAAACCCTGAAATCATACCAATACATAAAACTCCAAGTCAAAGGTCAAACAGGGCAGTTGGATTTCTCAACCTGCCCTGCTGGCCCTCTTCCAAGTGTATTTTGCTTCCTTTTTCCTGCTCCAAAACTTTTTAATAAACTTTTACTCCTGTTCAAAAACTTGCCTCGGTCTCTCACTCTGCCTTACGCCCCTGAAATGAATTCTTTCCTCTGAGGAGGTAAGAATCCAGTTGCTGCAGGCCAATATGAATTCATTGGTGCCAACAGTATCACAGGCTGGGCTCCTGATACATATGTTATATAACTATATAGAGAGAATTATGTTATATAAATATGACTGTTAATATTTTGTTTGACAAATGGTGAAAACATGTATATCAAAGTGACGCTAAAGTGGCTACTTTGCAGATTAGCCACAAGAATCCTTTGCACAGGGGCACCATTGTACAGGTACACAAATCTGTAATTTCCTTTTTTTTTTGTTTGTTTGTTTCTGTAGAAAGTCCACATATGCCAAGCTTGCTAGGTAAGTGTCACAACAGTAGTAAACTGCTGATTTTACAAGCCCAACTTCTTTCCCCTTCCTTTTTGGAACAGGATTATAGCTTTTATTTGAGGAATCACCTCTTCCCAGGTGCATGTGGTTTTGGTACAACTTCTAGCCAGGTAGACTTTCATGACTACTGGTGACATGAGTCAGGCCAGGCTGACTCTTCTTCTCTGAAATTTGTCTCTTCAGAAGAATAATATAAGCCCAGGAAATGTGTAGAGCTGATCAGTCCCAGCTGTGGAGATCTCAGTGTACTTTCCATTTTAAGTCTTCTTACCTCTACCTAGACTTTGTCCTTTCTAAAAATAAAAACCAGTACTTAATTAACTATTTTATCTAGCATGTTTTTGTTAAATAAAAAAAAAATCCAGATTTAGTAAGAAGAGACTTTATTCAAAATGTTTATTGCAGTGAAGGATAGAGGAAGAGAAGGGGTTAATGTAATATGAGGAGGGGCTCTGTTGCAATAAAGAGAAGGCTCTGACCAAAAGATCTGCAACCATTCTCAAAGGTTAGGAAAAAAGAGTTTTTCTTTTAAACGGAGGAGTAAACAAGATTAAACAACCCAGATATGGGAAAGTAGGGTGAAAGGGTGGCTTGATGAAGAGTAGAAGAGAGAATGTTTTGCCCTGAGGCTAGCCTATTCTTAGAGGGCTATTAAGGAGTTGTTTGCTGCCTTAGGCTGAGGATAGGTCAAACTTCAGGGGGCCTAAGGGAAGGAGACAAACTCAACCAGAGTTTGGTTAACAAGCATTTTGTTGAAACTGATCAGTGGGAACAATTGGTTCAGCTAATTATTCATGAAAGTAAAAAAAAAAGAAAAGAAAAGAAATGAAAAAGAAAAAGGAATTTGTAGGGTCTGTAAAAGGTCTTGCCATAGGTAAACAAGGTGGGTGTCCATGAATCATATTTAAGTCATATAGTGAAGGGTGGTTCCTTGAAGCTGTTTCCCAGAACACAAAGAGGATTTCTTAAACATTGTGGTTTTCAGGATCCCAGGGTTTCAGTAAAGTTTAACATTGACCATTTCTATTGCTGGCAACAAAAGAATATGAAATAATGTACCACCTCAATCCCCACATGGTATGATCTGAAGCTGCTTTTAACATCATATGTCATCTGATGCATGATGCAAATAAAAGAAGAAAGAGAGGGAGGAAGGGAGAGAGGAAGGAAGTGAGGAAAGGAGAAAGACAAACAAGCAAAACCTATCCATATCATGGGAACTGGAGAGAATAGCAAGTCCACCCAAAACTCATACAAGAAAAGGGCATACTGCTCATAACCTAAAAACATGCAAACCTGGGTCAAACAGGGTCACAAATGACTGCTCAACATGTTTTATCCTCCCTGTGAAATCTTTGGAGATGTTTTCCCACCTCCCTACTGTATCACAGAGAAAACCACCAAAACCTGCCTTGCACACTAAACCTGGTGCAAGAACTGCATACACATGATGTAATGCATTGTCTCAAATGCCTCATCCTCCAAAATAAGAAAAGGAAAACCATGAAATGTGAGATACATTAATAAGACAAAGAACTTTTCTCTTTGTATTTTCTAGTCTTTGTTGTGAAGATGTTCACAGAGTTATTGTAAATTTCTCAGCATCATTTCAAATGTGAGTGCATGCTAGATAAATAACCTCAAAGAATTCCTGATGGGCACACTGCATAATAATCCATAATCACTCCAGGAACAAAATAAAGCCCACTTAAAATATCCTCTTATTTGAAGTAAAATGTATCACAGTACAACATACTCATTGCAAAAGACAAGAATATGCAAATCTCCTCCCCACCCCTTTGACCATCATGGTTGATGTCCTTATTACAGCAATTGGTCAGCAAAGAGAAAACTTGGTAGTAATACTCAAACAACCAACATAAGGTTAATACGGTTTTTTAACAGAAAGGAAAATAATGATACTTGACTTGAAATGCCTATAAGTTCCTCATTAGGATCTCAAAAACACATTATAAATTGTCATTTTTCTCCTAGGACATGATTCGATTGTTTCTGGCTTGTAACTGATCATCACCTCTTTATGCCTATTTTATGGAGTCCCCTCATGAACAGCAATCTGCTTCTCTTAATAGCACCTTCTTTATAGAGCACATCATTTTCATTTACCTGCTCTTGGACTGTGTGTTAAATCCAACTAAATCAATTTTAACAAGCCCCTTCTTCAATTGTGAAGAGGCAATTAGCACCCAGTGATGTCACCCAAATTCCCGTAATTATGAAGCAAATGTCTTCCATCTTTCTTCATAGTTTTAAAATTCTGACGACTTGGCATTGTTACTGGTCCATTCACGAATAGAATTTAATTTGTCTTTTTTTAAAACAGTCCCATTTCCCCTAAGTTGTCTGAGTTATATAAGAAAAGAAAATATCCTGACACCCAGAGAAATATCTATGAAATACCTTAGTTTTTATGATGCTCCTGCCTCAGAGGAATTCTCTATTAAGAAAGGGGTTGATTCTAGGAGAATATGGTGTCTAGTTGACAGAAATTTTCTGCTCCTTCTCTCATATTCTACCCTGATCTGTCTGCCTAAGTGTAAAATCTTCTCACTAGTTTCTTTTTAGCTTTCTGGTTCTTTAATTCTGGTCTCATTACATTATGCTAATCCTCATCTTGCTGAATTTGTTGCCTATTAGACCACATGCTGAAATAATCAAAATCCCTCTGTGTTAGAGTCACGATCTTTTTATCTCTCTCTTGGCTGAATGCCTCCTAGATCATTTCAGGATGCAGATCTTTCCAGTGACTAGAAGTCTCTCTTCCCATCCCAGCCTCTTCTATATCAAATACCATAAGAATGGCAGTGAGCTGTTTGAAAATTTGATGCCTTTGATTATTTAAAAGAGACCTGTTCTCAAAGTTCCCTTTATTTCGAAGAGGAGACAAAGTTTGTTTCAGTCTGGAAATGGATTTAAAGTTGTCTCAATTCTATGTCCAGGGAAAATGGCCTATGTTATAAAAGCAGATCCATATGTTTCTATATATGGTAATTTCACTGGAAGTTTCCTTTTTTTAAAATCATAGATAAATGACAACATGCCATGGCTTGCTTTCTATGTTTATTTTTATTTATTTTCTTTTCTTTTTTCTTTTTTTTTTTTTAATTGAGACAGAATCTCACTCTGTTGCCCAAGCTGGCTGGAGTACATGGGCACAATCTTGGCTCACTGCAACCTCCGCCTCCCAGATTCAAGCGATTCTCCTGCCTCAGCCTCCCCAGTAGCTGGGATTACAGGCATGTGCCACCACACTCAGCTAATTTTTGTATTTTTAGTAGAGACAAGGTTTCACCATGTTGGCCAGGCTGGTCTTGAACTCCTGGCCTCAGATGATCCACCCATAGTGGCCTCCCAAAGTGCTGGGATTACAGGTGTGAGCCAACATGTCCAGCCTCTTTCTATTTTTAGAAGGAGGAATGAAAGCTATCCTTTCTTTTCTTTGAAAAGCAATACTAAAAATATTTCAAATGCTTTGACACTTAGAAGAAAAGTAGAGAAAATGGTATTGCATATTTAAATATTATTAAACAATGAACATTTATTGTCATGTATAAGCTGCAAGATGGAGGGAGGAGTAAAAAAAGAGTAAGGTGACTTAACACTGTCGTACCTTCAATGGCACTAATGATCTCATGGGAGAAAAAGAGAAAAACTTAAGAAACAGCATAGAGGTCCTTTTGAAAAACCTAAGAATTTTTAAAAATTCTTTGGGTTAAGTAATGAAAGGCAAGGGCAAGTAGCTTGTGAACAATCTCCTGAGCAATGTTGTTCTGTGTGTTTACTGGGCTCCCAAGCCTGAAATTATCTTCCCTCTATACCACCTAAATGTGTTCACTTATCCTCAAGCCATCTGAAATCACATTAATTAAACAAATTGTGTTAAATAAAAATGGTTCTTAAAAAATAAAAATGCTATTGGGAGTGTTATCATTCTATCAGTACCTCTGAATCCTGTGTGAATTATTCAGTTTGCATTTATTTGACAAATAGATAAGACCAGAAGTACCAAGGAGATGGGACAGGAAAGGAGGGTGTACTCTTGGGGCATGAGACATGGTGGGGTGGAAGATAGGCAAGAGTGGGCCATCACAGTGGGAGGTTTAGGAACATATAAAAGCCTAGATGACAAGTAGAAGGTAAGAGAAGTAGAGAGACAAAAGAGGCTCCCAAAATAAATCTTCTTCTTCAGTTTGCCTAGAGTCAGCCATCTCCTCTAGAATGGGGAAGAAATGGTGCTACCTTCTATTTAGATCCTCACCCCTTTTTGTTCTTTCTTTTTTTTTCTTTTCCTCTTATCTTTCACTTTCACTTCATCTTCTCCTCTTACTCTTTCTCTTCTCTCCATCTTTTGATTCTGTGCTTCAAAAATTCAACCACCACACCAGTATTATATATATTCAGTTGCATTACATGTTAAATCAGTTTGGGGATCCTGGTCTGACAAAGGAATTATCATTCTAAAAGAAATGTGTTAAGAATTTGCAACAACCAAATTACGCCACATTTTGGAACAAAAACAATGTGTAAATCAGGTCCAGAATACCATCGGCACGCTAAGGCATGGATTACATAGCTTCTGGTTATACTGATCCTTACTGATTTCCCAAGCATAGCCAACTCTGGGTGGCATGGGCCTGCTTCCAGCTCAGATTCGTGACAAACGTGCTGGGAAATGATAGAAACACAGAAGATAAAACACACTTTTTTTCCCTTCCCCAAAATTACCACTTTTTTTTTTTTTTTTTTTTTTTTTTGAGACACGTTCCACTCTGTCACTTAGGCTGGAGTGCAGTGATACCATCTCAGCTCACTGTAGCCTCAACCTCCTGGGCTCAAGGGATCTTGCCACCTCAGCCTCCCGAGTAGCTGGGACTACAGGTGTGTGCCACCATGCTCAGCTAATTTTTAAATTTTTTATAGAGATGGGGGTCTTACTATGTTGCCCATGTTGGTCTTGAACCCCTGGGCTCAAGCAATTCTTCCACATTGGCCTTGCAAAGTGCTGGGCTTACAGCCTGAGCCACTGCCCCCAGCCTGCCACAGCTTTGACTGTGCTCCTGTTGGTTATATCCATTCAGAAATAATCTCGTTAGTATCACTGTATCATAAATGCTTCCTTGCTTTCATTTTATTGAATATTTTTGGAATCCATCCAAGATACTTTCTATTCTTGATCACTTCATTAAAACCATGAAAGAATATGTTCAGGGTTTAATGTTGTGTCCTGATATTTTTCTGTATGAATCTTATATCCCCAAAGTCTGACCAGAGTTGATAGAAATAGATCTTTCCCTTACAGGGAAGGAAATTTTAGTGGAATAGGTCTTCCTTTCTGAATGTAACATTTTCACATAGTGTTTGTTAATTCATGGATGTATAGCTATTCTTGAGTTTACCATGCGATGTTGGTTAAATCATAACTGAAGTCTATTCTCTAGTTTACCAAGGGTCAAAGCCTATTTCATTTAAGCCACACTTGTACTCATTATATACGGCAAGGTATAAAAAGCCAAAAACTACAGAGTACAGAAATGTTCTATACACTCATGGACTGATAGATAATTATGGGTGTGGTTCCCTTTAGTAGAGCTACCATCTCCATTACAGATCCACCATTAGGCCAAATTCCGATATCCGTAGCATGTTTTCTCTCATCCTCATTCAGTCTTTCCTACTGCCATTGTGTTTCTATCTACAATTGCAGAGAAAGTCCATCTAAATTCATGATTTCATTTGGGTCACTTATAATTGCCTATTTTGATTCCCATGAGAACCTGGCATTAAATGGTTAAACAGTAGACAAAAGGTGGCATTACTCGGAAGAGGCCTTAAAACACAAGAATATAATACAACTATGTCTGTAATTTAGTAAATATAGTCAATATGGTAAATTTTAGTGTTGAATTAACATATGAAACAAAATAAATGTACCACCATATAAGAATAAAATCAGTCCTCCAGAGAGCTAGCAGATGGTTAAGCTTGGATTTAGAGGTCTAAGAATTGTCTTGTTACTTCTATAACCTTCATGATACCCTCTTACCTTCTCATCTAGGTGTGTAACATGCATCCCACCCAAAACATGTGCTTGCAAATAATGCTTTAGAGAGTAACATGAACTTAGACAAGCCTATGGACCATCTGAATTCAGAATCTGCTTTTACCTGTGGCCACAGAGGTCTATTTACCTCCAATCTCTAGCAGTCTACTAGACTTAACTGATCCCATAAAGCTGTACCAAAATTCTTCCAACTCTTCAAATGCAAAAAAAAAAAAAAAAAAAAAAAAAACAGCCTTCTGTTTTTGGAGTTCTACCTCTGGCAGTTTCTTCCTACTTCACTCTCACGAATTCAGGGCACAGTAAATGTCTCTTACCAGGCTAGCTCAGCTTCTATGATATACTCTCATAGTATGCTAGTATGCTCTTTGTTTCTCTGTTAACACCCACACACACTGTAATAAACTCAGTTTGTGTAATAGTACAATGAGTTTAGAGATGAGATGATACAAGGTTGGCATCTAGAATGAAACAACTTCCCTCAGAGGTCCTCAGAATTCCCTGGGAGTGGCAGCCTCTCAAGCAGCACTGTCTTGGTACATTCTGTGGCCATTGCGAAATTCCCCAAACATTCTGTAACAAAGGTTATAAAGATGGTCCTTGATTGGCAGGTGTCGAGGGAGAACTTTGCAAAAGAATTTTATGCAAAATTGGAGTTGAGTTCCAGGGTAGACTGGGTACGGACCTCATCCTCACTGGTTAGAAACAATGGAAAACCCCACATGGAAAGTCGCTGGTTTAACAGCATTGAGGCAGGTTGGATCCCAGGGCCAGAAGAGGAAAGTGATTAAAATAAGATAGGAGATGGTGTTTCACCATTTCCTTACTCAGACTCTATTTGTATCACCTAAAATTCCTCGGATATGCGCTTCCTGGGGAAGTGACTCATTCCTTCTCATGACTGCTTCATGCAGAACACATAATATCTTAGGTAAAGGTAGTAAATACATTTTTAGGTCTGTCACAAAGGGCTGCCATTTTTGCCCTCTGTCACATCTGGTATCATCTCCTAGGTACCAAATTAATTGTTTTTGTTCTCATTTTTTAGGAATTTACTGGCCACTAAATAATCATGTCAACCAGCCTGTTTTTGACTGGAGGCTTAGGGAAACACTGTGCTGGGAGGAAACAGTCCCAAACTCCTTTCGCTGTAATTTCAATCTTGTTCTTGTTTTATGTGGCTTTCCCTTGATTGTTAGATACACATATTTCTGGTAGGATCTTTTTCTTCTTCCTTTCTTCTCTACTGCTATTCCAAGGACTTAAATTTCCAGTCAAGTACCTCCTAACCCCACATTTCTTTATAGATTAATCTTACAGTATAATCACACATTTTTAAGGAATCCTTTCTACTAAATAATAACTAACATTTGTTGAACTTTTACTATAGACTTGGCACCATTTTAGGCACTTTACATGTATTCGCTCTTTTGATCTGTATAGTAACTCTGTGGAGAAAGGTACTCTGCATGCTCTATAAATGAAGCAATTGAGACACAAACACAGCTAGTAAATGACAGACTGGGATTCAAAGCCACAGAGTCTAGCTTCAGAGCCCAAATTCTTAGCTACATCATTTTAATACGATTCAAGTGTCATCAATGGGGTTAAATATATGCCAGCCCCATCACAAGATACAGCAAAATAATAGCAAGCACTTCACACAAAGCTAAGATCCAGATTAAAAGTTTGTGTTGAAATCACTAAATTAGCAATTTCAACTTCTGAAACATAAATTGGATTGTAATAGATATCAATGGGAGGTCTTTGTTTAATCTGGGAAAATAATTATAGTCACCAATGGTATGGCACCTGCTATAAATAGGAAAAAGCAGTGGCACAGATCTACTGATGACTGGTACTATCGTATCTACTTTGGGAGATATGGATTTAATATTGGATCCAAAGCTGATTTTTAAAGGTCTGACCTTTAAAAATCTACTTTCCTAAGGCTCCATTTCCTCATATAAAAATGGTGCTGGGAAAAAACATTTCGCTAGATGTCTACTACATGACAAGCTCTCTGTTGATAATGTGGATGCATTACTTCATTTAATAGTCTGATAGGTGTTTAGCATCATCTCCAATATATAGGTTGAGAACCTGAAGGTCACAGAAGTTAAATAACCTGACCAGAGACAATGGCTATTCAGTGACACAGCTAGAATTTGAATCTAGTTCTACTTGACTTTAATATCTCTCAAATTTCAGCTGCACCACACCAGCTTATAGAGATAATATACTTGCTTGTAGAGATAATATGCTAGGACAGAATTTTGAGTTTTGAATGCAGAAATGTATAAGAAAAATAACTAATGTTATGACATACCTGGTAAGCATTCAATGTTAGCTTAGCAGGGAGGCAAACTTGACTTTACAAAAAGTTTCCAAATTTTATATATTGGTTCTCTAAAGCAGAGATATGGTATTATAATCAGCTAAAAAATATTTATTAGTCACATTAAACAGCTTTCAGGATATCTCAACATCAGAAGAATGGATGTGTTATTTTAATTGTGGGGTTCTATGCCAACTATATAATTTACCTAATACCTAATAAAGCCTACATGTCCAGCTCTATAGAAGACACTGTCCACTGTTGGGCCCTATAACATGCCACCCAACTCTTTTCTATTTCAGTGTACATGGACTAGAATTTCAACTGCTGGCACATGGATACGTTTGCCATTCATGTCTGTCTTGGGACTCCAGAGCCTCTCTGCCTCTCTTCCCTGTAGCATGAAGTATCAGGGAATTAATGCCCACTAAGAGCAGCCCCCAAATAATGACTGAAGACAATTGGTGTATATATGGCCCAATTTCATCACTTCTCCATTGGTATAACTCTGGGTCCATGTTCCACACTATTTATTTTAGAGTTTTCCAGTTAAACTCACAATGAGTCACCCTAGTTGTTTACCATGGAAAGTAGCTTATTAAGCTACACATTCTTTATTTACCTCCTACGCTTTTCCATCTCCCTTCCCTGATTTCTTTACTAATCTATTTGCAATCAAATATTTGTCTCAGAATCTGCCTCTGTGGGACTGTAAAATAAGACAGATTACTTCAGACAATCACATTGGTGGAATTTGAGGACACCAAACAAAAACTCCTCTCTCCCTGCAGAGTTCTGTATTAATTAAAAGTTGTTGTAAGGGAATAAACCAAGTAGAGACCAGAAATATCTTTATTACTCATAAATCTGTTGAGTATTTCTGGGCAAATTACCCTAACAATGACCTTCATAACTATGCAATAGCACCCTCAGTATCAGGTATCCCTGGACAGGGTATCTCCTGCTCCTTCCAGGTGAGAGGCAGCCCCCCTTAGGAAATACGGCAGAGAGAGTAGAAGCAAATAAGTCTTTGAGTATATTACCCTGATAGAAGGAAGAGAAGAGATCTCTCCATCTCTCTGGGGCAGAGTAAAAATGCAAAGAGAAATGAGAAATACTGTACTAGTTGGTATTAATCCACATGAAAAGAAACATCAAGAGTAGAGAAAACATGCTTCTAATATGTATTTAAAAACTTTGAGCCCATTAATATGTAAGACAGTACTTTGAACTTTGATGCTGATTTCTTTTTTTAAAAAAAGCTAGATTAGAACTTATATTATTATTATTATTATTATTGTGATGGAATCTCACCCTGTCGCCTAGGGTGGAGGGCAGTGGTGCAATCTTGGCTCACTGCAACCTCCACCTCCCAGGTTCAAGTGATTTTCCTGCCTCAGCCTCCCAAGTAGCTGGGATTACAGATGTCTGCCATCATGGCTGGCTAATTATTGTATTATTGTTATTATTATTTTTAGTAGAGATGGGGTTTCACCATGTTGGACAGGCTGGTCTCGAACTCCTGAACTCAGTGATCCACCCACCTTGGCCTCCCAAAATGCTGGGATTACAAGTGTGAGCCACCACGCTCAGCCGCTCAGCCTAGATTAGAACTTTTAATCTAATGTCATTCATAAGGAGCAACTAGTTTTAAGTACAACTTTTTTATCATTAAACATTCCTGCATTTCTTTAACATCACTGAGAAAATGAGAAAGAACAAAGGAAGATTGTTTATACTGTTATCTAGCCTCTTGTCAGCCTTAGATTCTACAGATGATAGCTAGACCAAGTTTTACAATCTTAGTACAAATCCTAAATTAGTAATGTGTCTCAAATTCTTCCTATTAAAAGAAATTGTCAAAGTCAGAAATGGGCAAAACATCGCATTTACAGGTTACATTACAAAATATTTCTCTGTATCATATTAGATATAGATTATCATTATCATACTTTTAAAACTTGAAATTATATCATTTAAAAGCAAGCTTACAGCCTTAGCAAATAAAAATTAAGAGTACTTTGATAATGATTTATAACTTTACAATTATAAAGTTAGGAAATTTCAAGGTGTTTTAAGATATTGGACTGAGGTAAATTATAGTGAAACAGATGACCTTAATACTATATTATAACAAAAAAAATCATTGTATTTAGTAGGCATTCTCCAAAAAATCAATGACCAATCATAAAAAAATTTAATTTTATATCTGTTTACTATTGGGAATCTAATTGTGATCAAAGTCATGCTAATAGGCACCATACATTTTGGAAGTCTCAACATTTCTATTGCAGATCAAATAGCTCTCCTTGTATGTTACACAACTTGCCTCTGCCCACTGGCAAACTCTTACAGGCTATTTTGACCTAACTCATTTACCAATTGCCCCCTGAACCCCAAGCCAGCCACTGAAGTCTGTTGAACTACAGTCATTATTGTATTTAACAAACTCTATTATGTTCCTCTACCGTATTTTCAGGTTTCTGATGACAGATGCTGTGTGTTATGCCTCACCTGTCCCAAGCACCCTGCTCAGAGCCAGACAAGTATTAGACAATCTGTAAATTTTTTCAATGACCATTTGACATGAGACATCTATATAGTTCAGGCCATGAGTTTGAAACACGTACCATTAATATTGTCATATAAAAATTATCTTTCCTATATTAAGCAGCACAAAAATCTGGAGTCTCAACTAAATGATTTATCCAGGAAAGTGTAAACTTAATCCCTTTGACTATCTTATTCCTTTATTTAATCCATAAAGAGTAGAAGAGAATATATGAATAAAAATTAAACTTATCCCACCTATACATGTAATACTCTAAAGCATGAATATCTCTCTTTAATCAAAATGGAAGGATAGAGGGCACTTGAGACACTCATCAGATATGTGTATCACAAATTGCCTGTGATACTTTCCTTGCCTAACATTTAACCCAGCGCTTAGGGAAATAACATCCATTATTAGGTCTTCTATCTCTCCACTGAGTTATGATACAATGCTTTAAGATAATCACTCTATTATTTAAATACTATTCATATGTCTTGGGAGAGATATAGGCAAAGAAATTGTTACCTATTGAACTTTACATGGGAATTAATACAATAGTAAATCCCAAAGTATAAGACATTATTAATTTAAAACACCACTAGTGCAGAATTTGTAACATCTTTGATAAGAAGTTGATTTGTAGTTTTTTACAAACCATATATAATCACACATAGGTATACATACACAAACTCACACACAAAAGGATAATTTATGTCAAAATTATAGAATTAGAATTAGGTTATGCTAGGCCAAATCAACTCCTTTAGAATTTTTTAAAACCTGATTTTTTTCTCTAACAATACAAATAAAACATATCTGTGATAGAAAATTAGGAAATGTAAGAGATGTCACCCGTATTTACCTTCAGGCAGATTTGACTATTGATATTTTAGTTTATGTCACTGGTGTATATACTGAGCTTGAGTCTTTTAAGTCGTTTCAGATTTCCTAATAGATTTTCTTTCCTTTTATTTCTTGTATTTCACACTTTTCATTTATTAAGCAAGCAATGACGTAATTGCTCTGAAGAGCTTTGGAAGTATGAGGTAAGATATGGCATTTCAATATAGTTGACTGTACATGATTTTTTAAAACACATAAAATGGTGTTAAGTTAGCAAGAAAGGATATTATTAATTAACACAGATAGTAAAGTCAATGATCTATTGGGAGAAGAGAACCCAAGACTTCTTGGAGGAGATAGCATAGGCTTCCCTTACCTATTTTATTGTTGATTATACAGAGTAAAGCAAAATCTATTCATGAATTCTTCTCAGGGAAAAAATAGCCTAAACTCACTATAAGAAAACAAAAAGGCAACCAGAGTCCAATGGTTTAAATCTATGTGAACCAACTACCATTGCACTATGAACATTTATTGAGGTTCTACTATTTGACACTACTGGAATTTATACCAGACTGAAAAAAACCTTAATATTTATCTGTCTTTGTGGATCCCACTTTTCAGTGGGAGAGACAGACGTCTAAGAAATAGTAATGTCAATTATAATTATGCAACAATGTAGTGAAGGCCGTGGTCAAAGTACATTTGAATACTATGAAAACAGGAGGTGGCAAAGGATTTGCTCTGCCCAAGGACTAAAAGGGGTTTTGTTTTACAAAGGAAGCCAAGAAAACCCATGAGTTAATACATTTCAAACACTGATGGATTTTGGAAATTAGTTGTTTGTGTATGTTTGGCATCCATTTACCCATACACCAATAACTACACCCTGATTTTTCAAAGGGAACCCATCTGTCTTCTACTTTCATTCCAAATTTTGACCCATGCCTAGCCAATTAGACACACTTTAGGCAATCCAGTTAGAGTAACTGATTCAAAGATGGCCCTAGGACCCCAGCCATTGAAATACATGTATGGGAATTGTTTGTTTTGTTCAGCTGATAGGTAAAAACCCAGTGCTGTGTATACCATAAGAAGGTAGAAACCTGCTTAGAACACAACCCAAGGATAGGACAGAAGTTACACAGAGAGAAACAGACTAAGCTCTAATGAAATTACTTGAGGTCCTGAGCATAGCTATGCCTAGAGCAAACTCCAATACTGGGCTTTGTAATGATATGACTTTGAGGAAGGGAGGTGTGCAAAAGATTTCCTATAGCTTAACACCCTTTGAATTAGTTTGCATTCAGTTGAAGAGTAGGAAATGCTAAGTGTTCTAAGGAGTTAATGATGAGCACCTTAACCTAAATGCAGTGCAAAATATAAGGAGATAATGATAGCACCAAGTGAACAAAGAATAACATTTTTTCTCTAAGAAAGAACCTATATTTATAAAATGTTGTCCCCACCAACACCTGGCATGTGACATGATATTCTGCTTTTATAACACCCCTACCAAGAATAAGAGCCTCTTTATTCATACTTCTATGAGTCATCATCACCAAACTGTTAGTGTTTGTGCTGATAAAAACCCTCCTAGGAACCCTGAATGCTTTGTTTGTTTTGTTTCAGACAGATTTCCCCCCCCTGCAATTTCTCTTATTGACATGCCAGCAGTGTTAGAGACAGATGGGCGTGATTCCGTTCATTGTTACCTTCTGAAATGAAAGCTGCCACATAATAATTACCGGTGAGAGGGTGCCTGGTTGTGGTGTCACTAGTCGCAGCAAAATAGAGATGGGTTTATTTAATCTCCCCCTCTACAGCAGGCTATTTGTCTCATTATGGAATAGGGAAGCTACTTTTTTTTTTAAAGGGAACAGGATAAAGACACAGCTAAGTAAAGATTTGCATGTTTTGAGTGATCGTAGAATTGGAAATTGCTCCCGAACTGGAAAGCTACCAGAAATGAACAATACTGATTAAAAAAAAATGAATGGAGAAGATAAGAGAAAGTGTTTGCTGCTGTCAAACAGAATGGTTTTCTTTAACTTGATAATAAATCATCCTTGGGAAGTATAAGAGGGTCTTTAACTACCAACACAAATCTGGTTAATTCAATTAAGCAACTAATGACATTTAAATTAACTAGATCAACAGCCACTGTTAAAACTGGTACAAGACATGATTATAGTAGGTTATGGAGACAACAATGTTGACATTATTCACTTAAAGAATAATTTTTCAGAAAGGCCAGAGAAAGAAGCAGAATTGAGTATAACTGAATAAAGCGTCAGCTTTTTATCACAATTGAGAAATGTGCTCACTGTACAGGACTAGAAAGAAAATTACAGGCTAAAAATACTAAGTAACAATGCCAGCTGAGTATCCCAACAATTGATTACGAACTAGTTATGTGAAACTAATTGGGTAGGAAGACATTCCCTGGCTCTGTGTGTGTGTGTGTGTGTGTGTGTGTGTGTGTGTGTGTGTGTGTGTGTTTGCTTTGTTTTGGTGAAGGTTTCTTTTGCTGGGAGAATATGACTGCAGTCACAGAACAATGGCGGATTTAGTTCAATCACTCTAAACAGTGGTCAACAGCAGCAGCACCATCCTACAACCTACTTAACCACAATCTATTGTTAGTTGCCATTACATTTCTTAGGCTAGCTGAATGTGTAGGACAAAGCTTAGCAAAAATTATAGCTTTCCCCAAACAACAACAAAAAACCCCACTAATTTCTCAATGAGATAGGAAGGTGAGATGCAGAAGGTTGGGCCACCCAGATATTTTGAGAGTAGTGCATTCCAAAGCCTGTACTTTTCTAAACTGCTACAGTGATATTAGCAGGCATTTATTTAGAGAAATTGGCAAGCATGTTGTAGGGAGTCTTGAGTTGTCTAAGAAGAAAAATCAAAACAAAAATTAAAAATAAAAGAAACAAACAACATCAGAAGATGGTATATGCATTGGATAAAGAGCCTACGGTTTTCTAGCAGCTGTAATGGGTCTGGGAGTTTCTTGCTTCCCACTCATTGCACAGACACACCCTCCCCACCCCCACCCCCGCCCTCCCCTTGGTGATCCTAAGGCAGTGGCCCATCAAGTATATGGGATTCCTATTGGGACAAGGACTGACTATGGAAGTTCTATCTCTTGTAATGATGCTTCCTAGAAGTTGGATTCGAGAAAGGATCCCAGCCTTTATCAGGAGGCCAATCTCTCTTCTTTTCAATGGCTTTGTTATCAAAGCCAGAAAATTAGTGCTTACACACTGTAAGCCTCATGCAATCACTGAGTAAATCATGCTGAATTGCGAGTTAGCTATATTTTCTAAATTTGTATCCAGTGGCATCAATTGTCATCACAATCAGTTTGTAAAGGCATTTCCCTGCCAGTGATTTTTAAGCCTGACTGCACAAGAATCTGGAACTTGGAGTCCACTGGTGGATCATATAATTAGTGTGTTAGCAAAACAAAGGCATGCTCTTTGCCGGTTTAAATCCAACCCTAAGATCAACCCAAGCCCTTTTCCGTTCCCCAATCATCTCTTTATGATCATCTCTCCTTTCTCGAAATGTTTTTAACATGTAATGTTCATGTTCAAACCCGTCCCCATTCCAGAACAAACAACAAAATCATGTGTTCTGCCAGCAATTCTGACGTTTACTAGGACCAGCATTCCTCAGGCTACTCAGGCTTAAAAAAAATGTATGGCCTTTGATTCCTATTTCTCACTATTGCTTACTTTTATCTAACCATTTGCTAAGCATTATCAGTTCTACTATTGCAATTTTTCTTATATTTTTCTATTATTTACAACCTCATGTACTACTTCAAGAGCTTTCTCACTTACCTATCTCTTTTTAGTCTCTTCTACTGTAATATGGTATAGGTCACACACTTAAAAAAATAAATGGATGTATGAATATTCATCTCAGAAACTTTTTCTGGTTCACAATTACCCTCAACAATTGCTCCCCATTCATTTAACCTTCTCTCATTTCTACCATTTGTTACGAAACTTTTAAGTGACAGTAATTTTTGGACTATATCACTGATGAGCCCACTATTCCCTAGGAAAAAGTACAGAGAGCTATGTGGGTTTTTTGAGCATTTTCTCATTTTAATTTTTCATGATTGATTGTTTTGACTTCTTCAAATGTTTAATGTTCATTCTCCTTGAGTAAATTTTTTAAAGCATATAAAAATGTATTAACCATGAGATGAGAAAACAGAAAAAAAAAAACAGATCTGCATTACTACGAAATGCAGATCTCATCAAAGAGGTATTGAGTAAAACTTGCTTAAATGGTGACAGGTTGAAAAAAATCTTACCCTAAACATAGTAGTTGGAATAGATTAGGGTTTTGCTGGAGTGAATTAGGCTTCATGCACAATCAAGTATATGCTTTATCATTTGCTTTGCTGTGACCAAATCTTGAGCCAACAAGAAAGGAAGAGGTAGTTTCTGCACAGAAATTTTTCATGGTTTTTACAGTTATCCAGTTTCTGAAAATACAGGTTCTCTCTTTTTATTCCAACTTCCGAGCACTTAGAATCCCATTTGGTTTTGATTAACTCCCACATTTCCACCTGCCTGCAAGATGGCTCTGTTCTGAATACCTCCAATTGAACACAGTCAAATTCAATTTACCACATCTCCACCATAAATCATCTCTTCCTTGAGAATTCCCAAGTTTTGTGCATGGGTCCCACCTTTGCTCAAAGCTTTCTGTGGCTCCATTGTCAAAGGTATTAGGTCTAAGTTAAATAATGTGTGAACAGGTTTATTAAACAGCAAACAAGTATGGCATTGACAGACTCATCACCACCTTTGACTTATTTCCAAGTTTTGGCATGTTCCTTAAAATCAGTAATGAATATAAGATGCACATACATCTATAATCACCTTCTAGGGCTATGTTAAACTAGGCAAAGCAAAAAATATAATAATAATTTAAATAAAGAAAAATACTTGACCTTATATGGAACCATAATAATTCCTAACAATTACATGCTACTTGCACTTTGCCAGGTCACTGCTCTAAGAGGTTTACCTATATGAACTCACTTAATCATTCCAACAACCCTATGTAATGAGTGTAATAAAAGAAAAATACCACAGTTTCCACCCTTTCTAATATATCCGCCACTGTCGGATTAATTTTTCCAAATCATAGCTGAGAGCATAGCACTTATCTCTTATAACTTTAAATATGTTTCTATTGATTAATAAATAATTTCAACTGCCCAACCTGAAATTCACAGTCCTGCACGTTCTGACTCTAACTTTCCTGCCTGTCACCTTCGACTCTGCTACTATAGCTCCATACTGCTGGCTTCTATCTATAAACATATCCAGTGCTTTCCTGCTTCCACATTTTTTCCCCATACTTTTCCTTCTACTTCTCCTAGATCTGCAAAATGAAATTATACATAGACTTTAGCTATCAGTTTTTGTCACCAGTTTTTTTTCTGAAGATTTTAATTAACTCACCTGCATTTGACCTCCCCATCTATGAAACCTAATATATTGTTGCAAATCTCTTAGCATTTACCATATTCCCCCTTGAAATTCAGCAATTTATGAGTATATTTTTCTACACTATGTTGAAATTTCATTGAAAAAGAGTATTTGCCACTTTTCTCTTTTTTTTCAGAACAGAATGAAATAAGTTGATGAATAAAAAATAATTAGAACAGTGTCTTACACATGGTAAATGCTCAATGAATAAAAGGCACTATTAGCTAGAGAAACTATTCAATTTTCATGAGAATCCAGCAGCACCATGGTCCTTTGACTTAAGTGCCGTTTTTCCCATTTTAGAAGTGGAGAAGCTGCATCTCAGGCAGGTTAAATGACATTTCCGTATTTTTATATGGCAAATGGTAGTACAAGCAAGGTTTTGAACAATACCTTTTTGATCATAAGACTAATGCTTTCTTTAGTATATTTTGCCATCTGTCAACACAGTGGTTCTCATTTATTAAATTCATTACTGGATTCTGAGACTAAATTAAGTATTAATATGTTGTTAATTTGAAGTATTAATGTCAGGTCAAGCCTAGCTTAGTGCCTCTGGTTATAAATAAAGTTTTATTGAGATACAGCCATATCCATTTGTCTACATATTGTGCATGTTTGCATTTATGGCACAGTAGCTGTGACAGAGAGCCATACAGACTAAAATATTTCCCATTTGGACATTTATAGAAAAAAATTTCTGATCTTTGTTCTATGTCCATGATTCTCAACCCTGATAGACATTTAGAATCACCTACTGTGGAGTTCCACCTCTTGAGTGCTTATTAAATTGATACAGAATGGGAACCTGTGCATTTGTGGTTTTTAAAAACCTTGCAGTTGATTCTATTGTGCAGTCAGGCTTAAAAATCACTGGCAGGGAAATGCCTTTACAAACTGATTGTGATGACAATTGATGCCACTGGATACAAATTTAGAAGATATAGCTAACTGGCAATTCAGCATGATTTACTCAGTGATTGCATGAGGTTTACAATGTGTAAGCACTAATTTTCTGGCTTTGATAACAAAGCCATTGAAAAGAGGAGAGATTGACCTCCTGATAAAGGCTGGGATGATTCTAACACCTACTTCATTTCCCTAAACAAAACTACATTTTATTTCAGAGGATCAAAGGCAGTTAATTAGAAGATTATTTGTGCCTTGATTAGAAGTCTCACTTGCTGAAAAATACAGAATGCCACTTATATTAACACAACTGAAACAAGTGGAATACAACTTTTGTGCACTTGTGTTGTCAATTATATACGTAATCAGCTTATAATTGTCACCACTGTTGTCATGACTGTCTCATAATAATGATCCTTGAATAAGTGTACATATACACACGATCTCCATCCAACATTTATGTAGGAATGTTTATAAATCATGCAATCATATTTTTTTGGCTCTGTGTGTGTGTGTGTGTGTGTGAACAACAGAGAGGCGAACTACCTAAACACTATGAAGATTAAGTTTTGTAGCTTGTGTCCTTCTAATTTTATGGCAATGTGATGGTCTCGGTGAACTATGAAAAGAAGTCAAAAGAGGGCAAAATCTGTAAAAAGAATGTCTCTAGAGTTTTTATACTCACCTAACTCACTAAAGGTACTTCCACCCAATCCTTCCTACAGGGTTTGTGGAGTTCCTAGTGAGGTAGGAACTACCTCTTCCTACTAGGAAGAATATTCGGAGTATGGAATAACCAGGGTTCAGAGTTTAATATCTGGTGTCATTAGAATGAGTTATGGAAGCCAGAGAGGAATAATGCTAAAGTTATACCATTGCTTTTCTAACTCAACTCTATGAGTTAGAAACTAAGCCTGTGCCTGTAATGTCCTCACAGAGAGCTGAATTCTGCGTCACTGAAAAGAGAAGAGAGGCCACGATAATAATGTGGAAAATAATGTTAATAGAAATCATTACTTTTCTCCCAGAGGTAATGGAAAGAAAGAATCTACCCCTGGTTGCCTCTCTTGGTAGCTTCCTCCCTTTGGAGGGTGTATTAGAGTTCTAATATTAACCATCACAGGAATGATTTCTCTGGCTGTTGAGGCTGCCAAAGTGCAACTGTCATTGGTCTTTATTTCTCTCTTGGCTAGGACTAACATGTTAAAGGCTCAATGTGCCACTTGGCCTTTCTGCACTTGATAAGCTACAAGGTCAGCTACTATCTTCCATGCAACCAGCTGGGTAAGTTATTAGGAAGCCTATTCTAAGTTCTCATTCCTGCTATGTTCTTTAATCAAAACAGGCAGAAATGAAGCCTCCTCCACTGATTCAGAATTTGGACAGGGGATGCATGTGATTAACAGTTTCAAACCCTCAACAGTCGTTTCTGGCATATTTACCATACTTCATATGATTCAAAGCATAGGCCCTTCATAGTAGCCCTGCGAGGTCACTGAAATTGGTACTTATTTCAAATCTCTTTTGAAAGTCTCTGGCTCTCTCCTCCTATTGCACTCATAGAGCTGTAAAATAATCCACTGCAATTTATTTATCCATCTGTCCATCCTTGCACCAGATTTGTCCCTTTTGGCAGCACACAGGATTGCCCAAAATTCAGGCGTTCCTTCCTTA
Source organism: Homo sapiens (assembly GCF_000001405.40). Taxonomy (NCBI): domain Eukaryota; kingdom Metazoa; phylum Chordata; class Mammalia; order Primates; family Hominidae; genus Homo; species Homo sapiens. The sequence continues at coordinate 106,520,066 of NC_000010.11, forward strand.
ACAAGCTCCAACAGTCGAATTATCACCCCCAAGAAGTCTTCAATTCCTTAACTAAGCATAAAAGTCACAAACCTGATGGTATGGGCACACCTAGATAAAGAGAGTAAAAGAAAGTGGGACTGCCAACCTCACTCTCTAAATAAAAATTGTTGACCTGGTACCACGCGCTAGGCACTGGAGATACAACAGCAAAACAGCAGTAGTCTCTAGTTTCAGAGAGTTTACAGTCCAATGACCAAAGGGTACTGGTACATTATCTTGATTAGCCATTGGATACTCTACAAGCCCCACTTTAATGCGTTTGTTTCTTAGTTCTGTTGCTGCTCCAAACCTGTACCATGAAAAGAAGGATATATACTCATAATACTACAGCTACAGGGACGAAATGACAAAGCTTATGAAAAGGCATTTGGGCAATCATCATTAGAGGGCCTGTTTCTCATTCCTACTCTTCTCGGCTTTGTTTTAAAAAAGAACGTGAAAGGGATTTTGTGAAATTGGATGCTCTTCTTTCCCAAATCACAAAACCAGAAAACTGCCCCTCATATATAAAAAAGCAGCTCATTCATCCCCATGGCACCTCATGATAAAAACAGAATTTATAACTTAAGGTAGAAATACAGTAGTAGGAATAAACTTTTAAAAGTAAAAATTATGTTTCCATTTAACTGACTTATGGAAGAATTATCAGGGGAAAAAAAAGATAACGAAAACAAGATAGAGAAAATAGCCAGAATTGTTTCAAAACATTATAGAACATTTTTAAAGAGATAGCCCTGAAGCATCAAAGGCTGTTTAAGATTCAGCAATTAAATAAACACAATTTGTACAACACTCTGAATTATTATTATCTCGGTAATGAGGAACATTTTTCAGAGATTTGTTCTGCATTAATATACTGGAAAACAGATGGTCATAATAATTTTAAGAACACATCAGGAGTTAATTTTGACCTCGGCTTGCTTCATACATCACAAATCACAGATCCTTAACATCGGAGTTTGAGTGCAAATTCTGTCTTTTTATGTTCTTTTCTTTTTTAAAAAAATCATAAGCTCCAAGATTTCCTTCTTGAAAGAATTCATCAATCTCTCATAGTTTGGAGACACAGAAGGAAATTCGGAAGAATTCTAATCAGTTTGGGTATTAAATAATTGCAATGAATATTGTAATCTTTGCTAACTTAGTCATTATCACTGATTTGCTTTTCTTAATAAGCCAAAACACAGGTATCAAATTATATAGTTCATAGTATACTGGTATGTTAACAACGTATTAGTGCAGTTTTTATATTTTGGGAGGTTGTTTCCTGAATCTGACTTTCATCACGGTGTTCTTCTTATAGTTTCTAAAACCGAAGGTCTGAAACCAATAATGTTACATTTCAAAGAGCATGCAAAAAATAAAGCCCTGCTATTTCTCAGCTGAATGTCATTCAAAAAGTTACTTAATTTCTCTGAAGATTTCCCATCTATAAAATAAGTACAAAAGTACCTCCCTAAGGCTGGGCACGGTGGCTCATGCCTGTAATCCCAGCACTTTGGGAGGCTGAAGCGGGTGGATCACGAGGTCAGGAGATCAAGACCATCCTGGCTAACATGGTGAAACCCGTCTCTACTAAAAATACAAAAAATTAGCCGGGTGTGGTGGCAGGCGCCTGTAGTCCCAGCGACTCGGGAGGCGGAGGCAGGAGAATGGCGGGAACCTGAGAGGCAGAGGTTGCAGTGAGCTGAGATCGCGCCACTGCACTCCAGCCTGGGCGACAGTGCGAGACTCCATCTCAAAAAACAAAAACAAAACAAAACAAAACAAAAAGTACCTACCTAAAAGTTTAACAAGAAATGAAAGAATTTTACAATATTTGTTTTCATTTCTCCAAACAACCCACATCAACCTAGTCATAGCAATGATTCTCACATTCACCATTTTCCTAATTACTCTTTTCTGACATGTATATTAATCTTTATATAAAGAAAGATAATTTTGCTAAAAGGTATCTGGATTCTGAAAAAATGCTAGAAACAAAATTATCCATGGTTCTTACACTGAATTCAGGTTTTGGACGTGAGATGTGAGTTTTGGCACCAGGTGTGACAATGGTTAATAGCTGCCAAGACACTGCTGCTGCACTCTAAATATATTACCATTTGCCCATGTGAATTATCTCCTCATGTTTATTGAGAGAACAGTGCTTACCTGAAATGCTGCAGTATCATAAAATCATTCTTCAAAAATACATTCTGGTTGAAGGGGCGATATTTCAGTCAGACAAGATTCTCAGGCTGTAAGGTTTAAGTAATTAAGTCAAGTAATCAATGGGTTTTATAGCTCATAATGGATGAATTAATCTTTCACTTAAATAACCTGAGTAGCTAAAAGCTTTTGATAATTTTCTCATTATAAGATTCAGTTGTTTAAAGACAAACTATTTTCTGCAACCGACCAAGCAAACTCTGTAAATCAAGTTTCTGGCACCTTGCTATTACAACCTCATATAAATATCTTCCTTTCTGAAGAAGATTTTGGGTTCATAGAATATTCATTGTGTGCCTGGCCACTCTATCAAGAAAAAAAATTATACATGATTAAATAGAATATATTTTTCTGCCTTATTTGCATAATAAATCAGATCTACACTTGGTCACTGAGTACTAGTTACAGCATCTAACAAGTTGTACCTTAAACCTAACTCTCAATTTTCAAATAGAAATAATTGTAAAGGGATATAAAGTCTTTACATTGTGAAATTACAGATGGATCTTCAAGAATATGTAGCCTCTTTTAATATAAGCATTGCAGCTATGTGGTGTCATAGCAAATAATTCTACCAATTAAAACAGTTTGGGGTTTGACCCACTACACAATGGCTGATATACCTGCTTTTGAGATTACTACATATTGTGTTAGGGTATTATAGATAAAAACTTTTCTTGCAGCCTAACCTCAAATAAAAGCAATAGTATGTCTTTGCTTACATCACTGTGTGTTCTCCCCATTTCCTGTTTGGATAAGAAGATATTAACTGCCCTATCCTCAATGGAGATGTATACCAAGATAACTAGACCCAAATCATATAGTCACCATTAAATATTTAAATTATTAAAGTATTAAGATGGAAAGTAACAATAATCCAAATTTTATCCCCATTATGATCTTATAATTAACCATTAAGTGCATAATAATATATGGAAAAAACTTGTCTGGGGCACGGTGACTCACACCTGTAATCCCAGCATTTTGGGAGGCTGAGATGGGTGGATCACCTGAGGTCAGGAGTTCAAGACTAGCCTGGGCAACATGACAAAACCCCATCTCTACTAAAAATACAAAAATTAGCTGGGCATGGTGGCGCACATCTGTAATCCCAGCTACTTGGGAGGCTGAGGCAGGAGAATCACTTGAACCCAGGAGGCAGAGGTTTCAGTGAGCTGAGCTCACGCTATTGCACTCCAGCCTGGGCAAAAACAGTGAAGCTCCATCTCAAATAATAATAACAATATATGAAAAAAATACCATTCAGGCCCTCTGTGACAATATTACAATTGAAATTTACTCTACATGTAGACGTGTACACAATGAAAAAAATATATTGAATGTAAAATACATGCATTAATAATGATGCATCTACACAGTAAAGTGGATGCTCCCAAGTTGGAAAGCTAAACTATGTTCTTCCATTATTTCAGACACATCTGAAGACAGGTGATTCAGGTCCTCCAGAAGCCTATTTATATAATAGATCTGGTGGCCTTCTGAGAAATTACTCATCTCAAGAGAAAAGGAAGATGAGGAACACTAAGTTGGTACATGGACAATAGAACAATGCTGAAGAGGAAGATCAATCTTGAGTGGAGAAGAGTATTGACTACCCACAGCTTTATCATCCCATCTTTATAAATTTAGATCTGACAGTTAAGTCCATTAGTTATAATTTTGCAGTGGCTCATGCCTGTAATCCCAGCACTTTAGGAGGCCGAGGCAGGAGGGTCATGAGGTCAGGAGATCGAGACCATCCTAGCTAACATGGTGAAACCCCATCTCTACTAAAAATACAAAAAATTAGCCGGGTTTGGTGGCGGGTGCCTGTAGTCCCAGCTGCTCAGGAGGCTGAGGCAGGAGAATGGCGTGAACCTGGGAGGCGGAGCTTGCAGTGAGTGGAGATCATGCCACTCCACTCCAGCCTGGGCGACAGAGCAAGACTCCATCTCAAAAATAAATAACTAAATAAAATAAAATCAGTAATAATAGAAGAGTTGCCTTTACCAAACTTTTTGAAAGCAATAAGGAAATGAATTAGTTCTATTATGCAACCTAGGTAATAGAATAAATCAAAAGTAGGGGAGTGAAATATTATCTTTCTTGGCATCATGTGTTGGAAAATGTGAAATATGTAAGTTAGTGTGAGCAAAGAGCTGGACCAGAGAAAGAAGGAAATGGCATAGCATATCAAGGAGTCTTTGATGGCCTCAGCAGAAGACAATACAACAGAGGAGGAGAAAAACAAATAAAAATAAGCAAGAGTTCATGAGCATGTATCATTCTTATGCCTTTGTGTCCTCATAGCTTAGTTCCCACATATTGGGTGATGGGTGCACCAGGATCTCACCAATCACCACTAAAGAACATACTCATGTAACCAAATACCACCTGTACCCCAAAAAGCTATGGGAAGATAACAAAAATAATAAAAAGTAAATACATAAATAAAATAAAAATATACTTCATAAAGAAAACAAAGAGTTCATGAGCATGTAAGATGCCCCTTGGAGACTTCAATAACTGTTTGGATTGAGCTACATTTTTGTAACCTTTTAGCCTGATAGTGTAAGTGATACATACAGCATAGAAAAAATAGAAAAGGCACAAATTAAAGCAAATATAATTCATGTGTGAGCTCATCAAAATCAGGAAGAATTAGAGGAAAGTGGAGTTCTTGTAGGTGAGCACAACAAAAAACTATAACCATAACAAAATTATGTTATTACTGCTATTGTGATCTCAGCTTACCCCTGAACAGGATAGTCTTGTTAATTTTGTAGGATCACATTAGTATACCACAGACATGAATGTATACCATAGATATGGATACATAGGGATGTCTTATGACTCCCTCATTAAATAAGCCATTTTCTCCTAATTCTTACAAGTCAACTTTTCCTGTCACTTGTATATTTGCAAATCTAGGCAATGACATCCCTTGAAACATGGAATCATCAGGCCAACAAAACATCTAGACAGCATCAGATGTATTTGCTCTTCTCTTAGTTGAGTGCTAATAACTCTTGGCTTATTTTCTATTTCCTGGAATTTCTTTAATACATACTATAGCAGTTTACCTCCTTCAGAAGCAATCAACATAGTGATTAATATTGACCTATGGAATACAATTTCATATCATTAACAGAGTGAAATCAACATCAGTAGCAAAATGATGCATATTTTAAGCATGATTTGGCCCCATTTCAACAGTATTTAGTATACTATTATACCTGAAGTTTTGTCATTTTCTCAGAAAATTGAATGTTCTAGAGTGATACTGTCTCCATTTATTATTGCTTTACCTAATATTCATGTCTACAATGCCATCAGATAGTAACCTAAATATTGTACCATGACAGTACAATACAACTGAGAAAAGCTTGATGCCATGGTATTAAAGGCAAAATTGATTATAAGACATTACAAAAGAAAGTATCCTTTATTCAAAAATTTTAGAGTACAAATTGATTAGAGATTTGAGCTGAACATTCTGTGACAGAGTGAGCTCCAGATCCTTAATCAGTTTCTGAATATTTGAATCTCAACAAATTGCACATTCCCTGACACATGATAGATATTCAAGAAATGCATATTGAATAAATGACTGAATGAATCCTCTAGTTTTGAGAATGCAATAGAGCTGCAAAGATCTACTTTCCCCAACCTCTGTAAGATGAGCCATGAATAATAGAATCAGATTACTGGAAGTTATTAGGTAACTGCTCTTTTGCTGACATCGGTCACATGGGATCTGTCCAGGTGGTCTTCCTGTTCATTCTGTATCTCTCTGTTCAATCTACATATTAATCATCATTCCCACCATCTCACTTCTGACTCCTTTTCCCAAAGCTCTTCATTCTTACTGTAAGTCCTGTGGATTTCAATTTCTTCTCCTGACTTTCAAGATTTTTCATGATCTGTGGCCTACTGAAGCTCCTTCCCTATTGTTCTCTTTCCCTTGTCTTTATCCTGTTTCTGCTGGAAATACTCATGGTTTCCTGATCCATCAACATTCAACAATCATTTCCACCTCTGTGATTTATGCCATCAAGTTCTCCATGCTGCAAATATTCTTTGCTCCCTTCTCCCCTTTCTAATCCCACTCAGTCTTTGATATCTGGACTCAGGCCCTGTTATGGTTTGAATATGTCCCCCCAAAAGCATGTGTTGAAAACTTAGTTCCCCAGTGCCACAGTGTTGGAAGATGTGGGCTACTAGGAGGGATCAGGTCACAAAGACTCCCCCCTCATGAATAGATAACTGACAATTATAAAAGGGCTTGGTGCTATGAGTTTGATGTCTTGCTCTCTCACTCTCTCTTGCCTTTCTGCCATGAGATGAAATGGGAAGAAGGCCCTTGCCAGTTGCTGCTACCTTAATATTAGACATTCCAGCCTCCAGAACCGTGACAAATAATTTTCTTTATAAATTACCACGTCTTTGGAATTCTGTTATAGCAACACAAAACAAAGACAGAAGTCTGATACCAGAAATGGAGCTGTTGCTATCATAAACACCTGAAAATGAGGAAGCAGTTTTGGAACTCGATAATGGGTAATTTGGAGAAGCAGGTTATAAGAAGCCTATACTGTCATGGATGGAGCCATAAGGGCCATTCTGGTGAGGGCTCAGGAGAGACGAGTTGTAGAAACTCTGAAATTTCTTAAAGATTACTTAAGTGATTGGGATCAGAATATTGATAGAATTACAGATAGTAAGGCCATTCTGATGAGGTCTCAGATAGAAATGAGGAATAAGATATTGGAAACTGGAGTAAAGGGCATCGTTTTTACACAGTTGCAAAGAACTTGGAGGAATTGCCTCCATATCCAGGGACTTTGTGAAATGCCGAACTCAATGGTGATGAACTAGAAGAAATATCTAAGTGGCAAAGCATCCAAGATACTGCGTGGCTTCTTTGGCTGCTTACAGAAAAATAAGAGAAAATAGAAATGCCTTAAAGATGGAATTTATAATTATAAGGGAAGCAGATATGAAAGGTTTGGAAAATTTGCAGCCTAGTTATGTAAAGAATAAAACGATGTGTTTAGGAGAACAAACCATGAGTGTGGCCAAGCAAGTTTGCTAAGAAGATTAGTATGGCTAGAAGAAAGCTAGATTCCATTCATCAAGAAAACAAGAGAATAAACCTGATAACCCTTCAGAGATTTGAGGCAAGCCAGAATCTTGAAGGCAAGTCTTCCCCACAGAGGTGCCAGCAGAACCTCGGGATCTGCTGCCCCGGCACCATCTTGTCTCTATTCCCTGCATTCCAGCATCATGCTTTTCAGCCACCCCAGCTTTGGCTCAAATGGGCCTAGATGTGGCTTGTGCCACTACTCTGGAAGCAAATCCTTAAACCATGGCAGCATCCACATGGTGCTCACTCTGCAGATGTACTGAATGTACAACCTGTGGGGTCACCGCTGCCTCTATCTGGATTCCAAAGGATGTCACTGACAGCCTAGGGGCCCAGGAAAAATTTGTCACAGGGGTAGAGCCGCTGCCCAAAGGATGTCACTGACAGCCTGGGGCCCAGGCAAAGACTTGTCACAGGGGCAGAGCCACTGCAAAGATCTCCTCCTTGGGTAATGCTGAGCAAAATGTGGGGGCAGAGCTGCTACAGAGATTCCCCCACTAATGCAATGCCTAGTAGAGCCATGGCAGCAAAGCCATCTCACAGACCCCAGAACTATAGGTCCACCAGCATGCAACTGTAACCTGGGAAAGAAGCAAGTATGAGACTTCATCCATTGCAAGGTACTGAGTACACCACACCCAAAAAAACCATAGGGATGGGGCTGCCTGAGGCCTTGGGATCCAGTCCCTGCCCGTGTGCCCAGGATGCAAGACATGAAATCAAAGGAGATGATTTTCCAGCTTTAAGACTTAACACTATTTCTCTTGTTGGGTTGTGGACTTACTTGGGACCAGTTATCCCTTTCTTCTTACCTATTTATCACTTTTAGAATGGGAATGTCTATCCTATGACTGTCCTGCCATTGTATTTTGGAAGCACACAAATTGTTTTGATTTCACAGGCTCACAGATGAAGAAAATTTGCCTCGGGATGAATCCTTCCTTGAGGCTTCCCCATATCTGATTTATATGAGACTTTGGACTTTTGAGTGGGCACTGAAATGAGTTAAGACTTTGGGGCTATTGGGATGGAATGGACGTATTTTGCATGTAAGAAAGACATGCATTGTTGGGGTCAGGGAAAGAATGCTATGGCTTGAATTTCTCAGAAAACCATGTCAGAAACGTAATCCTCAATGCAACTCTAATGGGAGGATTTAGGTCTTGAGGGGTTCACCTTCATAAATAGATTACTACCAATGATAAAAGGGCTTGAGGCTACAAGTTTGATCTCGTTTTCTCATGCTTTTTTGCCTTTCTGCCTTCCACCATGGGATGACGCACCAAGAAGGCCCTCACCAGATGCCTGTACACCGATATTGGACTTCTCAATCCTCAGAACTGTGAAACTAATCCTTTTTATTTATAAATTACCCAGTCTGTGTTATTCTGTTACAGCAACACAAAATGGACTAGGACAGGACCTGTGTGAACTTTTTGAACTACTGATCTTTTATTGATCTCTTATTCATTCACTGTTAACTTATTATGTGCAAGATACAAAGTCACTAGCTGGCAGAGATGCAAATATCAGTATGACACAGGTCTGGGTTTTTAAATTCTTATATTTCAGAAGAAAAGGTCAACATGTAAATAATTACAATGTGAAGAGATAAGCACAAACCTGAGTGTGTACAGACCGCTATGGGAAATACATTTGTAACTCTTACGGTCTTTATCTCATACTTGAGAATGCATTGTACATTTATTGTCTTTGTCATTTTCAGATGTTGTATAAGTATTCAACACATTTCCGTTTTTCAACTTTTCTCTTAAATGTGTACACAGAACTGAACACATTGCTGAAATTCCGTTCTTTGATTACAAAACTGAAGGTTAAACCTTATGATTTCAGTGGCCTTTCAGCCTGTGCATCTCCCAATTGCAGATGTATTCTCATTTCACCCAGCAAATGAATCCATATTTCTAATCCATAGGCCTCCAAAGACTTTAATATTTATGAAAAATGCATCATTTCTATATCAGTACAAACCAATTAGTAAATAACTTGTTTTTGAAAGGATTATAGTATTATAAAAGCTTACAATCTAAACAGACATATATTGATATAAAGAGAGACTATATATCTATGGACCTTTTCCTGTCTAATCTCACTCCATGCTTTCTTCCCCTGGGCTTTGACTTTGACGTTCTTTATGTGAAGAAGATTGTCTCAAAGAGTGGACAGAATTGGGACCCCCTTTGGTCCCAGTCTTACTTCTTTCACTAACTTGGCAAAAGTGGCATCCAGAAGCCACATAATCATTCACTATTTCTATTTCTTCCCTTTAGAAGGAGATGAATTGTATATATCTTGTTGACTTCAGTGAAGATCACGTGTAACTTTTACATGTGATAATAAATATGCAGTGCCTGGCATATAGCTATCATTTAAGTGGTAAGTATCATTTTTTATTAATACATTGTACATTTTACACATGTATTTTTATCCTCTAGTAACTTAGTTTTACTCATTAATCATGTCTTTCTGAATCATCTCTAAGATCTTAGAGGGCAAGAAAAATAAAAACATGTAAAAATATTTTTGTCCTTCAAGTGTCTGGGTGCATATTAATAAATACTAAATACATGCAAAGTTAATGAATAAATATATGAATAAATACAGTGCTTGCTCTGGGCCCCACTTAAATAATGAATAGGTAACACCGAACCTCAAGAATCTTATGGGTTAATGGTTCTATAACCATGGATTCTGACTTCCTATGAAGACAATAAATTTTATAGAAATCCCTAAGAAAATAATTTGTTTTTTATTAAAGCTAAAATGGAAAGAAATAAGCCAAATAATATTAAGAATTTACTCATTTCACAAAGAATGGATGCTTCTTGATGTTGGAATAAAAGACTTTAGCTGATATAACCCTTTATTAAATATTGTTTCTAAAGCTATCAGATTTAGACAAGGTGTTTGAAATTAAGTTTGGTGTGGAAATAAGAGGAAGTACATTAACCTAGCTAATTCTTTTTCAATTTTATGCTAGAAGAATATAAATTATTTTTATCAAAATTAGTGTTCATAGTACTGGTTCTTTGATGTCAATATCAGCTCAGCTGCCCTCCCAAAGCACAAAGTCAGTGCAGGGGCTCAGAGGTTTGTATTTCCCACTCAATTATCTCCAAGAAAGATATATAAAGACATATTTGCACGAGTCTAAGATATATTTGCATAAGTCTATATCTCTAAGGAAGATATATAAATATATATTTGCATGAGTCTAAGACACCAGATCAAGGGAAAGAAACTGAGGGCCATCTGCTTTTCATATTTTATTCTAGTGGGCAATAGGCTTTAGAATGGCAGCTAATTTCTCATTGTAGTCCACAGGGCACACTTGCTATTAAATGAAAATGGTAAACTGGTATATAGAAAATATTCAGTAAATCATAGGTAATGTCTTATCTAAACTTCAAATCAGACCTATTGAAGAAGGTGTTATTATTCTTATTTTGTAGATAATGGAATGGAGACTCATATACATCTTATAAATCTGGTGTCATATAGACCTAGATTTGAAACATGGCTTTGCCAATTTCTAACTCTGTATCTTTGGGTAAAGTGTGTCCTCTCTCTACTACACCACCTGTGCATTCTCCCCTCCAACAGCTAACTTCAGTGGAACTCATATTTTGTGGAACTTCCTCATTCATGATCTGATCTTTATTCTTGGACTATACAGGCTAGACATTGATTAGTACTGAGCTTTCTTCAACTTTACTCCTTTCATATCAGATGCATTCAGATGCATAGCCTAGCTCTCACATTATTTTTATTTTTTTTTTTTTTTGAGACAGAGTCTCACTCTGTCACCCAGGCTGGAGTGTAGCGGTACAATCTCCACTCACTGCAAGCTCCGTCTCCTGAGTTCACACCATTCTTCTGCCTCAGCCTCCCAAGTAGCTAGGACTACAGGTGCCTGCCACCACGCTCAGCTAATTTTTTGTATTTTTAGTAGAAACGGGGTTTCACCGTATTAGCCAGGATGGTCTCGATCTCCTGACCTCGTGATCCACCCGCCTCGGCCTCCCAGTGTTCTGGGATTACAGGTGTGAGCCACTGCGCCCGGCTGCTCTCACATTGTTAGTGCCAAGGGAATTTAGAGCTTATTGTTTTGCTTATACATGGCTTAAACTCGTGAGCCAGGGAAGTATACTAACTTTTCATAAATGATTTGTCTTTTTGATAAAATTTCACTTGATAATTCAGAAAACTACAGGACACCTTCAGTAGATCAGAGCCAAATACTACACAAACTTTTTTACAGTCTTTTCAGATCATCAAGCTGAATAATGAATCTGAAGTTTCCTGATGTCTTTTTTGCCTTGAAGTTTAAATTAGATGTGATATCCCTTGGGTACCATTCAAAAGAGTTCTAATGACAGTGTAAAAATATTGAAAGAAACTAAATGAGATACTCTTATTTAAATATACATGACTATATATGTACTACCTTAACTTCATTGAAATGAAAAGGAAAGAGCTAACTTCAATGTTAATATCATTCTCCAACTGCCTGACTTTATATATAAATGCCAATAATTTGAAGGTTTTGCAAGATGGACATTTATAATTACTGCAGATTTCATTAGCTAAAAAGCCAAAATTAGAAGGCAAAAATTAGATTTTAATGAACGATTCTTAGGAAGGATGTCATGAATTGGTTTCTGGAGAATATAATTATGACTTAAAAATCAAGTATATTAAATGAGTCCAGGAAAGGACTAGATAGAGTAAAGATTAAAATAACTTCAAAGGCAGGCCCCTCTTGAACCACTCTTCCCAACCCCTGGGGGAAAATAAAGTAGAAAGAAAAGAAATAAGAGAGAATAATAAATGTGTGTTTTAAAAATGGAATTTGTACTTTAATGCTTTATAGTTGATGGGAAATATTTGAGTTGACAATTTTTACAGTTGTGATTTAACACAGTAAATTAAAGGCTTTTGTAGCGAGTAAATAGATTCACAGTGATTGGTGCTGAAATTCAATGGCCTTCCACAGGTTATTGTCCAAATTCTGCCTTGTCAGACTTCATGAATCCAGTGCCATCTTCGGAGCAGTTAATGACCAAGATAAATTGAAGGTATGAGTTTTCCAATGCAGCCTGGGAAGAGATCTGCTGCTGATGATGATAGAAATAATAAGAACAAGTAATATTGCTTTTATAGCCAAATGCATAGAGCAGTTTTCCATGCCATGCAGTGTGCTAAACATTCTATATACATAAAATGTATTTACTTGAAGAGATGATTTAACAGGGAGGTTTAAGAGTCAAAATATAAGAAAAACCTTCCCTCACAGTCTTGGTTTATTTCTAGTAAGTATTGTGTATTGTGTCATAATAGTTTCATATCAGTTCAAGCTGCAGGTTCATTTATATTTTTAAAATAATAAATAATTTAAAAAAGTAAAAGGAAAAGAATGAGCTCCCTCTACTTAGTAGTAATCATTAAGTATTAGCATTTTATTGTAGAAGCTAACACTTATAAGAAGTTCTGAAATCACTGTGTCTACCTAAGAGTATTGTGCATGCAATAGATCACAGAGAGCTAGTGTTAGTCTTGCAGGGGAGAAAGAATCATAATTCAGTCTAGGTAGTGGTCCAGTAATTCTCAGTTGACACTTGTGGTCATCCATAACCCCTTCCTTTTGGCTAAAATTTATCTTCCTTTCTATGGTCTCATTCTGAAATCTCTCTACCTCCTGCGATTTTTATTTTATAAATGAAACAAGGATAATTTGTATAGCTCTTTCTTTGTTTACAATTCTGTTGTGGGGGCAACAATAGTAAATCATTTCAAAAATGGACTCTGCTCAATCGTTAGAGACATTTTGATCCTTCTGAAAATTTCATACTAGTTTGGTGTTATTGTTTTCATGAGAATGCAAATTGTGCATATGTGTATGTGTGAGAGAGAGAAATGATGAATAAGGAATGGACTCATATAATTATAACAGGGAGATACAGCGAACACACTCACAGGCACATTTAAGGCCTCTGATACCTATCTTCTTTTTTTCTCTATTCCTCTGCAAATCTTAATTATAGAATAACAAGACTATTGCCTGTATTTGCTAAAGTATTGTCTCTCCTGCCACAAAATATTTGCTAATACTGAGTCTTTACTACCTCCATCTCTATTGAAATGCAACTCGCTTTTTAGGAGTTAGCTGAAATGCCACCATGTTTGTGAAGTCATCCATTACCAAGCTAATCACAATCCCCCCTCTTCTTCAAAAGCCTTAGAAATATCCTATGGAAACATTTTATATATTGTGATGCTATGTTAGTCATCCATTTTCTCTCTTACTACTTGAAAAATGCTTGAAGACAAGGTCCATGACTTCTGTCTTTATCCTCATTACTGCTCCTTGTTGAGAACTCGGCATTTTGTACAAATTCAATAAATGCTATTGAATAGTGTGTGCCTGAAATGAAATTTAGGTCCTATAGAATTATCTACTTCAAGATCTCATTTAAAAATAGTTCTTGCAAATAAGAATTCATTACTTGAGTTTATATACCTTAGGATTACCTTTTTTTTTTTTCAACCAACTCATTTCAAATAATATAAACTCTAGGATTAAATGCAAACACTTTGCAATCAGATTACCTAGGTTCAAATCTCAATTCTGCTGCTAAATAACAGACAGCTTGGGCAAGTTACTTAACTTCCCTTTCCCTCAGTTTCTTCATCTGTAAAATGGACTTGATTATAATAATACTGATTATTATTACCCATCTTCTAGGGTCATTGGGATACTTAAATATAAGTACATGTAATATAAATATATGTAAAGTGCTTAAAAAGTACCTACCAGCAATAGTGTATGCTGTGTAAATAAATAGTAACTATATTGCTCTCTGTTGGACAGATGAGAGATTTCAAACTGGCATCCACAGGCTGAACCTATTCTACAATTATGTTGTGTTCAGCCTAACACTGTTGGCATACACAATACTTTTGAATTTGTTGTCAATATTTACAGAAGGATATTTTGCATAAAATCCAGATTTTCTAGATTCTCTTAGGAAAAAAAATGGATAAAACAGAGGTCTTTGTTTCTCAAAAGAAAAAAAAATCAGCTGGAAGCGAGCAAATGATGCCTGCCTCATTTAGACAGGGCATGTGTTCTCTGGTGTTCTGGGATCCACAGCTGCTTGCTGCCTCCCTAATCCAGAGCCCACATGCCAACATGCTGTTCCTCACATCACAGCTTATCTAACGCACTCATCCAAGCTGTCTAGGTGGATGAGACTTCTACTGAATGTAGAAATTAAATGTAGAAAATTTTTAAAAATTAAATTAAAAAATAATAATTCATGAGTATATGATAAGTCTCACCTATAACAAAAGCATACCTAACCTGTATGGTAGGTGGATGAGTCTTCTACTGAAAGTTACAAATTATGTTAGTGCTATATTAATTAAAAATACTTTTTCAAGATATATTAAACATAGATAAACTGGATATTGCTTAGAAAAAAAGAAAAAAATTAAAATATTGCAGAGAAATGTCTTAGAAACATTCTACGGAATGTAGAAGGCTCTAAAATTAAAAAAAATAATAATTCATGAGTATATGATAAGGCTCACCTATAACAAAAGAATACTTAACCTGTATGATAAAGTCACTATTGCAACAACTATGATTTTGACCACCTCTGTTACTATTAGTCAGTGTTTATTGAGTAAACAGTATTTACCAGGTGCTATAATAAGCACTTAATATAAAGTATTTCTAGTACTTAATGAGAAATCTGCAAGTAGGTATTGTCAATTTAGGTATAGTACCAGTGAGGAAACAGAGGTTCAGTGAAATATAGCTACTTCTGCTGGGTACTGTCCTGCAGACCCCAGCTGTACGACGGATGAATAACGTACTCAGACACTGATATTCAATGAAAGAGTGGGCTAGGGGGCCAGGCCACTGACTGAAAGAGTTGTAGCAGCCATGGCCCGGAATAGCTGGTCCTGCTGGCATTTATTCAGCACACATTAAATGACAAAGGCTTTGAGTCAACACCACTAGAGGGTAATTAACCCAGTCGCCCTCTCCCCAAGAGAGACATCCTACTCTCAAAAGATCAAAGGTTAGTTTTAGGACCACATGAGTAAACAAGCTATTTAGATAAACTCCCTTACATTCCTTTGTACCTACTTTAAGCTATTTACTCAAGGTGAAGATTAGACTGCCTTCAGCCAGATCTATGACTGAAGCTTATGCAACACCCCCAGGCTTCCAAGAAGGTTTGTGACTATTTCTTATAACTATCTTTAAAATGCTTCCCACCAGCCTGCCTGAACTCCCTCATACTTGCCCAAAGTCAGTGCTGGTGTCAGCAAGACAACCCAGTACCATCTGGCTCCACACCCACAGTGTTTCCATCATGTTGGCTGACCTTCTCCTTGTCAACCTTTCTGGCTTCTCTTACACAATGCATATCCACAAATAGGGGAGGACTGAAAGGGGGTGATTTTAGCTCCATTTTACATATGAGGAATTAAGTATAGACAGACCCCAAAGAAAGAAAATGACAGGGGTGAGCAAGCATAGTCCTGAAACAAATGCAGACCTTGTTTATCTATTAGAAATATTATGAAAATATAATTCAGAAAAAAAGATATTGCCCCCGTCTATACTACAGCCTGCTCTATTCACATCTTCTGAAGTGAGACAAAAGCCTTTAAAGATATAATTTTCCAGCTGTTGATGCTCAGCTCTGTTTTAGAATACGTAAAAACTTATTGTTTGAAAGCTTAACAACCCTTTTCTAATGAGGCAGAGAAACAGTGCAGTTCCATTAACATACACACTGGTAAGTATATTTCAAGCAAGGGAAAACTCACTGTATGTATATAAATAGTGAATTAAGTACCCATTATTTATTCTCATTAAGACACATAACAAACATTTTCATAATTCTACTAAGAATTATGTAGCAGTTGCTTGTTAATTTTTGTTTATATTTTTATTGAGCTCTTTGGAACTCAAAATACTATTGTTTTGCTGAATCATTTATAATACTGCTAGAAATTATACTTTATGATGTCTTTTGGGGATGGAGGATCCATTTTTGCATATCCTGTTATCTTTTCTGATTCTCCAGGAAGCAAATAATTTAATGCAATACTTCAGTTTCAGAATAAATTACTTTGGATACCTTGAAATTCTCTCTTCTCTCTTTCCTTCTCCAGAAAAAAAAAATAGAAAAGCAAGCCATAAATTGCCATAATAATTGTCAGTTTTGATAGCCAGTTATAAATTATGTTAGTGCTATATTAATTAAAATTTTTTTCAAGAGATATTAAATACAGATAAACTGCATATTGCTTAGAAAAAAAAAGAAACAAAAAATTAAAATATTGCAGAGAAATCTCTTAGAAACCAATTCATTTAAGCCCTAGAATTAAATCCAGAGAATGTATAAGCTCTTAAATGTTCACGATCACTCCACTATGGCAGCCACTGTGTAAGTTTACCAAAATTATTTACAAGAAAATGAGCTGTTACCTCAGAAAAGGGGAAAAACTTGTCTCAAAATCCTTTATATTTGTCCAAATTTTTACACTTACTAGGCTCCAAGCAAGCATTAAGGGCAGAAGGAGGGGAGAAGAATCCTAATAAATAACATATGGGGGAAGAATCTCTTTATCTCAATTTACATTACAATGAGTATTGACAACCATAAGCAAAGTGACCAAATCACCAATCACTGGGATCTATTGGAATGCACCTTAATCTTATTTAGATTTACCAACCCATTCTGTAGTAATTGAACATGTCACAAAATAATGCCTTCCTTACTGTAGTATGAAATTAGTAATGACTGTAAATAAGGAACAATCAAATTCACCTATTTTAACAGTGAACTGTCACTATGTTGTTTTTAATCTATATGTACAAAATAATTCGTCATTTATATAGCACCCAATCCCTTGAATATGTCAACACATTAATCTGGCTTTCTGTCTCCTGCAAGTTCTCAATCATCTTTACATGAACAAACAGTCACATTGTAAGGCAAGCAAACATCCTAATATACTCCTGCTATTATTGTTCCTTGGAAAAGATCCAGAGCCTCAATAAGGCAGTGATTGGAAATGCACAAAGTATTTTAATATCCTAATTATTTTGATTTAACTTCCTCTAATAGTTTGAATTGATACTGAATTTATTTAGAACCCATTAGAGGTTGTTTTTTTAATTCAACAGATTATAAACACAGGCTGAACTTAATCTCAAGACAAAATTAATTATTCATGCTTCAAATTGCCAATACACTTCCAAAAACCTGCCACCCCCTTCTACATTCAGGCTTTTATTTTAATTCCCTTTCCATTTTAGGAAAGTAATTACTGGCAATGTGTATGTCATTCTGAAGAGCAGTGAGACCTTCTACCCACTGATCCAAACACAAAACAGACACTCAGAGCTACAGGGAGAGAAGCTGGTGGGCATCATCAATGCAATATCACCACCACAGGCTACCATTCCCTTGCAGCTGAGCTACCAGGATGAAAAGGACAGAAAGTCACAAGAACTCTCTCTTGCATTCATGACAAGAGAACCAATCACTAAATTGTCTCCCACACACACAGAAAACTCAAGGCTGTCTTCAAAGAACACAATGCACTTCTTTGAAAGTTAACACTTGCCGTTTTAGTCATTTTACCGAGTGTAAATTGTTGTTTTCGAAAGGAATGGGTTTTTGACCAAATGGAAACATTACATATTCGAACTTGTTAGTAACCCACTGTGGCAACGCAAGACCTTTTAATTCTTAGGTTCCCAAATCTGAGTAGGGTTAGAGAATAACAGTGATGATTAATCAAAAACCTACCAATGCAACAAATGGTGCTAAGCATGTCACACGTATTAATCCAGTTCAAGTTTCAGAGAGGCTTATAAGTTCTATCTTAATTAATTTTACAAATTAAAAAACAAATACAAAAATTAGAAAGATGAAGCAATTTGCCCCAAATCCTGGAGATGGTAATAACAGAGGCAGGTCTGTATACCATCCCTGACCCCCACCCCTTTATTTATTTATTTATTTATTTATTTATTTTGAGATAGACTCTCACTCTGGCTTCCAGACTGGAGTGCAGGCAGTGGCGCGATCTTGGCTCACTGCAGCCTCCACCTCCTGGGTTCAAGTGATTCTCCTGCCTCAGCCTCCTGAGGAGCTGGCACAATAGACACACACCACCACGCCCAGCTAATTTTTGTATTTTTAGTAGAGATGGGGGGAGGTTCTACCACGTTGGCCAGGCTGGTCTCGAACTCCTGACCTCAAGTGATCTGCCTGCCCTAGCCTCCCAAAGTGCTGGGATTACAGGCATGAGCCACCACACCCATTCTGCTCTGTTTACCTCTTAACCTAAGGTGCTTAACCACCATGATGCTGCCACTCAGCACCAGTGGCATCTGTATATTTATTCGTTCAACACATAAATCAGAACATTGTTGCATAGGGCCTTGGTTTGTGTTTGAGGCTGTGAAAAATACTAAGATGGTTAAGACATGATCCAAATACTCAAGAAACTTCTAATGTAAGAGGATAGATATACTTCACAAATAAGCATTTTGATTATAAAGAATGAAAGCAGCAATTATGACAAAAATTTAATTTTCCTTCAATAAGAGATGCCGAAGAATGTATTAAATAGATGGGAATAAAATAACAAGGGTGAATACCTTCTAGGTCAATCAGGTAGAATCTGGAAGACCTGCAGTGCAGGTTAGATCTATCACTAAGTTCAGCATTGCCTTGGGAAAATCTTTGACTGTCTTGTCCCAGATCCCCCATCTGTGAAGAGGAGGATAGATTACCAAATCAAATATAAAAATAAAATATACCAAAAGTCAATAGAAAATAATACAGCACTATTTAAATATAAGATGATATTTTCTCTAGTTTCAGCTGTGTAACTCATTTCATCTCTGTCTTCTGACGTCAGGTGACCCACCTGCCTCGGCCTCCCAAAGTGCTGGGATTACAGGCCTGAGCTTTGTCTTTTTCTTCTCTCCCGGCTGATTTTCCTAAGGTGGGAAGGTTTGATTAGTGATGTTACCCAGAACCTTGGGCAGAGCAAATTATGAGACAAAAAACAAATGAGAAAATGGTTCAAGAGGTTTCCCTTTCTTTCATTTTAGTTGAAGGGGCAGAAGCTCCATAAGTCATCTATCCCAGTAAGGGATGTAATTTATTTCTCCGGTTGCAGGACACAGTATTCCAAACAACTACTGTTAGGTCCTTCTGTGTCATCCTACCAGCCTACCAATTAATAATCTCAGTAGATATAATGGCCAAATACGACAAGTTTCTAAACCATAGAGTACTCTGCTCCTTCTCCTTACTCCCTCCAGTGATTTGCCCTTCTTTTTCATACTATCTACTCAAACTGCAAATAATCTGTTTCACTTCCATACCCTCAATAAGGACTTCCTTGGTGAAAGTTTGGCTGTTTAATGAAAATCCCTGAAACTGACTTCTGGCTTCAATACTTCATAGCTGTATGAGTTTGAACTAGTTACTTAAAATTTACCAAGGGTTTGGGCGCAGTGGCTCATATCTGTAATCCCAGCATTTTGGGAGGCCAACATAGGAGGATCACTGGAGCCCAGGCGTTCAAGACCAGCCTGGGCAACACTGCAAAACCCCGTCTCTACAAAAAATAAAAAAAATTAGTAGTGGTGTGCGCCTGTCCCAGCTATTCCAGAAGCTCAGGTGGGAGGATCGCTTGAGCCTGGGAGAACGAGGCTGCCATGAGCCATGATAGTCCCATTGTACTCCAGCCTGGGCAAAAAAGCAAGACCCTGTTTCAAAAAAGAAAACAAACATAGAAACAAACCGCAAAAGTTTACTAAGGTTTAGCCTACTGTAGGAATTTAAATAAGCTAATGGACATAAAACATTCAGCACAGTGCTTGGCACATAATAAGTGAAAGAGAAATATTAACTTGTGCTACAATTCATAATCCCCAAAGCCTTAATAAACTCTTTCTCTTCAATGTAGAAATTTTACAACATTTTTTTTCTGTGCCGCTCATTTGGTCATTAACATAAACTTTTTTTGTTTTGGTGACCCCCTCTTTTAGAATTTTTTAAGTGTGGCTTTCTAATTCACTTTTGGGGAAAAGAATTCATGAGCTATTTGTTTCTGCATTTTCCATAGCATCTAGCAGAATGCATTGATATGATGGGCACTCAGTCATATCTGTTGTGTGAAAAAATGAATAAAATGGGTGACTCACTTGGCTCCTGGAGTGTGGCCTCTGGATATTTCACTTGTTTGTTCCTCTGCCCTGACAAGAGTCTGATATTTGCATTATCTCCCAGTCTGTGAACAGCTCCTGCCTTTTTCATACTCTGCTGCATATTCTAGGCAGCCAGCTTTCAGCTCTGCACTCCACTGTGGCTTATTAAGAAAGAATAAAACTCACACTGGCAGTGCTGAAGGCAGTTAGACTCCAGGGCACCCAAGCAGAGTAGGAGTCTGAATATTTTGTTAATGGACAAGAAAACACATTAAAAATTCAAGAGTAGCTTTGAAGCCAAGTGTGCAGAAATGCACTCACCAGATGGGCGCAGTGGCTCATGCCTGTAATCCCAGCAGTTTTGGAGGCCGAGGTGGGTGGATCACTTGAGGTCAGGAGTTCGAGAGCAGCCTGGCCCACATGGTAAAACCCTGTCTCTACTAAAAATACAAAAGTTAGCTGGGCATGGTGGTGCGTGCCTGTAATCCCAGCTACTCGGTAGGCTGAGGCAGGAGACACTCTTGAACCTCGGAGGTGGAGATTGCAGTGAGCCGAGATAATGCCACTGCACTCCAGCCTGGGCAACAGAGTGAGACTCCGCCTCAAAAAAAGAAGCACTCAGCATTCAAGACATTCTTTCCAGAGAGAACAAAGGTGAGTCTTCACTTGAAAACAGACCCCATGCCTACTACCTGAGACAGAGGAGTGTCACCGAAAATGTCTGGGCCTAAAAGTGAAAACAGGAAGGATCAGATTCCTATCAGTCACTCTCTATGTCAGTTTGGGTAAGCAACTTGCCTATGAACCTCAGTTTCCCTTGTGCAAAAGAGAAGGAACCAGATGTCTTCTCACATTCTTTCAAAATGTACAATTATATGAATATAAAATGTGTCATACATGGAATGAGACACAGCATGGTAAACCAGAACAGCATGAAGGAGTTTGGTTAAAAATAGGAGAAGCATGTCGATGTCCAATTCAAGAAAGTTGAAGCCCCATTTTAGTGGATCAGGCACATATAATTCAGCCAACATTTGACATTATTCAAGATAATCACTTGATTTGGAGTCAGACTATAGACAATAGAGGGAAAGAAGTTAGGTGCCATGTGATACAACTCAGAACCCCTCCTAGAGCAGTGCTCAACATAAATAAAAAACAAGTTATCTTATGCTCTTGATATTTTAAAATGAGTTTGCCTTAAAGTACATGTTGTTATGAAGGAAAGCACACACTTTATTTATTTAATTGCATCTTTTAAGAAGTGTGACCTGAGTGACAGAGACACTGTACAATGTGTCCTTACGAGTTCTTGGAGAGAACAGGTTATGAAAACAGGTGAGGTTTTTTAGTTTGTTTTTTTCATCTTTTCTGTTCCAAGGGAATGTTAATTCAAGGACAGGTGTCTGAATTTAAGGAATTCCTTGTCCTGCAATTCTTAAGAAATGCAGATTAGAGACCAAGTTCAGTGGCTCATGCCTGGAATCCCGGCACTTTGGAAGGTGGAGGCAAGCAGATCACTTGAGCCCAGAGTTCGAGACCAGCCTGGATAACATAGAGAGACTCCATCTCAGTGGAAAACAAACAAACAAAAAGAATGCAGATTAGAAAAAAATCTAAAAATTTCCTACAATCACCCCATGTCCCTCTGACACCTATATCCCTACACACACACACACACACACACACACACACACACACACATACAGAGAAAGAGAGAGAGAGATCCAGTATCAGTGTCTCTCCCAGAGGAGACACTATGGGTAAAGGGGAGAAGAACAGAAGGTGGTGGAAGAAGTTGTGTGCCATTTCTAACTATTTTCCAACAACCCGCAAATGTTCCAAGTTGCTTGGCAAGCATGCTACACATAAAATTAAATCCGAAGTGCTAATTTGGCACAATTTTTTATTCATAACATCAATTCTCAACATTAATTTTGACTTTTTTTTAAAAGATTTCCAACTGGCAGTGAAAAATTACTTGGCAAAGTAGTATTTGGTGAGAAATATGATGGCGTCCCTGCTTCTGGCTACAGGTGACTAGTGTTCTTTGCCCCTGCTTGGTAGATGGGTGCTATTTCCTTCCTGGGCCTAGTAGCCAGTTTTTACTCCAACTCTGTGCTATTGACTCTGGAGAGCTAAATGGAACTTATTTCCCCACTCATGACTTGGTTTGTAAGCTCATAAATCACAGCAAACTCTCTGAAATCCATTCGCTCAAGCCTCCTCTTGATAAACCAGAGGTAGACACCTGCTAGAGGTCAGGAGACTGGCTCAGAGATCTGGGCTCTATACCTACGTACTCTGTTAGGGTCACTAGTAAGTCATTTCCATCATTAAAACAATGGCCAGTTGGAACATTTGCCATTGGAGGTATATGTTTGTGCATGTCTATTGCCATAACCAGGAAGGAGGTGAGGGTTGTTTGTGCCTGCAACTGAGAGAGAGGAAGCGAGGTGCAGGGTGGCTATATAACATGCCATTGAAAATCAGAGTGCTTAAGTTTAGGTAATAAATCTTACTAGCCTGTGTCTTAAAGTTGTTTTCTCCACCCACAAAATTCAGGCATTTCCATATCACCCTTGTGATTTTTGCCACATCTGTGTGCTCATATATTAATAAATATTTTTATTTACCTTGCTTTATTTTCAAGCCAATATCCATCTCAAAGCTTGTCTTAAAAATATAATCCATAAAACTGTAGGATTTATTTTCTGCTCATGTAGTTTATAATGCATAGTAAAATAAACACAGAAAGTATTAAAAGTTTTAAAAAAGTATCTGTGTAGCATCTGAAAAAGTGTTTTCATCGTCAGTAAATTGTATAACACACCTAAAAATACTGCTCTATAAGATTCACCATCACTGATATTAAAGGTCAGCGCACTCGTGCAAAAAAAAACAATTTCTTGATGAGAATGTTTTTGCCTATTGTACTTTTCAGATAAAACCAAGCACAGCTGGGGTATGTTACAGAATTCAGGCTTGGAAGGGACCACCAAAAACCTAAAGTCTACTTGGGAAACCACCTCCATGTATATGAGATAACCAGAGTACATTAGTTAATCCAAAAGAAAATGCTTTATGATTGGAAAGACAATATAATATACAACACAGAGCAATGCTATGAATTAATGGTTTTAGACTATTGAGAGAACAAAGCTCAACCAAAGTCCTTTTCCCTTTGAGAAAGAGAGATAAACCTAAATTTATCAATAATCCCGCAAAAAATCTTGGACCAAAATTAACCGTGAAGAACTCCTTAGTAAACCACACTCTATTTAATACATTTAGTTAATTATAAAATTTATCACTTAAAGTGATAAAGGTAAACTTTGGTTTACCATCATAGACTTTTTTCAGAGTTAAAGGTACAGCAGAAAGGATCAGGCTCTGATGCTGTACTTGGATGTCAGATGTAAGTATTAAGAACTGGCCGGGCCTGGTGGCTGATGCCTGTAATCCCAGCACTTTGGGAGGCCGAGGTGGGCGGATCACGAGGTCAGGAGATTGAGACCATCCTGGCTAACAAGGTGAAACCCCATCTCTACTAAAAATACAGAAAATTAGCCGGGCATGGTGGCGGGCACCTGTAGTCCCAGCTACTCGGGAGGCTGAGGCAGGAGAATCGCTTGAACCCAGGAAGTTAGAGGCTGCAGTGAGCCAAGATCGTGCCACTGCACTCCAGCCTGGGCGACAGTGTGAGACTCTGTCTCAAAAAAAACAAAAAAGAAAAAAAGAACTGTGGCTGTCTGGGTAAGTAGGAGCTCCTGAGCTCAGTGATTTGCCTCGCTAATTGTACAGGGCATGGAGGGAGACCAAAGTCCTGGGCAGGCAAGCAGGTACCTTGATCATGCCCTGTGGGCCCATATCATAACTAGCCTTACCTATTAATATAAATGGCAGCTTTATCAAAAGCAGAACAGAGAGTAAAATGTAGATAGCTCAGCCCAATTTAACTTTAATCCTAGGAAAAGTTAGAACTCTTGCTTTAAGATCAGACTTAAAGTAAAGTGAAGAAATTTTGCTCCTGAAAGACATATGTCCACTAGGACATATTACAAATTTTACTACAAAGATGTGAATGGGCTTTGGCTGCATTCATATGTATATGCTTTTGTTGCTTATGCTTCTGGGGCCATATCCAAAAAAATATTTGTCCAGACCAATGCCATGGACATTTTCCCTTATGTTTTCTTCTGGTTTCAGAGTTTCGTGTCTTATGTTTACATCTCTAATCCACTTTGAGTTGATTTTATATAATGTGAGATAAGGGTCTAATTTTACTTTTCTGCATGTGGCTATCCAGTTTTCCAATACCATTTATTGAAGAAACTGGTTCTTCCCCTATTGTGTGTTCTTAGCACCTTTGTCTAAAATCAGTTGGCTATAAATGCATATATTTATTTCCAGGATCTCTATTCTTTTCCATTGGTCTAAATGTCGGTTTTAGGCCAATATCATCCTGTTTCTGTTATTACAGCCATTTTGTTAATTGTTTTCTAGCTGTTCTATAAATCCTTTGCTCTTTCTCCCTCTGTTGCTGTCTTTGCTTATGGCTAAGTGACTTTCTCCACTGATATGTTTTGATTCCTTGCTTTTTACTTTCCTGCTCTTGGATTTTGCTTTGTCATTACCATGAGGCTTGCAAAAAATATCTCATAGTTATAACAGACTATTTTAAGCTAGTAACAAAGTTGATTGGAAAAAAAAAATCTCTAATTTGACTCCACTTCCCCTCAAATTTTGAATTTGCATTGTCAAAATTTATACCTTTTTATATTGCATATCCTTTAACAAATTATTGCAGTTAATATTATTTTTAATATTTTTGTCTTTTATCCTTCCTAATAAAGATATAAGTGATTTACATACCACCATTACAGTATTCTGAATTTGACTATGTGCTTATTTTTATCAGTTTTATACTTTCAGATGTTTCTTCCACTTTATCTCATCTCTTAGTTACTGGTTGCTATAAAGTTTGCAGAAGCATCCAAAATATAAAAAGGTATAAGCCTTACAACAATATTCTTTCATTTTTTTCTTCTGGTCCTTTGGGCTATTCTTATCATTATGAATTTTTTAACATAAATTTTAAAACCCACAATCAATTGTTAATTTTGTGTTAAGCAGTTTATTTTTTAAGACACTTAAAAATGAGGAAAAATGTCTTTTATATTTACCATTGGTAATTATCTTCATTTATTTATGTAAATCAAAGTGTCCTTCTGTCACCACTTCCTTCCACCTGAAGAACTTTTAAAATATTCTCATCGTACAAGTCAGCTGGCAGAAAATTCTTTTAGCACTTGCCTGAAAAGTTTTCTTTTACTTTAATTTTCAAAGAACTTTTCTCCTGGGTATAGAATTCTAGATTATCAGATTTTTCCCCACGAGCACTTTAAAATTTTGCTCCATTATCTTCTGGCTTGCATAGTTTATGAGATTTCTTTTAAAAAAATTTTTTATTCTTGTTCCTCTTCATTTGGTGTGTTCTTTTTCTCTGTCATAATTCTTAGCTTTGCTTCTCAGTATTTGATGTGTCTTTTATCTCTCAAAGCTTTTACAATTTTTTGGCTACAGATTTTTATCTTTTTTATTATAATGCGCTTTTTTGTGGATTTCTATAATGTGTCTGTCTATTGTTTTCATCAAATTTGAGAAAATGTACTTGTTTATTCAAATATTTTCCTGTCACTTCCATTTTTTCTGGGACTCAGATTATATGTATGTATATTAGATCAATTGATGCTATTTTATACATCACTTAGGTAATACTCTTCTAGTTAATTTTGCTTTTTGTCTTTTTGCTCAGTTTGGATACATTCTATTGCTTCAAGTTCAAATTTGATTATATTTTCTTCTGAAATTTCTCATCTTCTATTCATTTTATGCTTAAGTTTTTAAATTTGGGTTTTTTTAAATTCTTAATTTCTAGGTGCTTGTTCCACTGGTTCTTTTATGTATTTTTTCTTCTCTCATGTTAATCTTTTAAAACCTTTTCATACTTATAAAAGTTGTTTTAACATCCTTCTGGACTAGTTCTATTATCTCCGTCATTTCTAGTCATGGGTTTTCTTTGTTTGTTTGTTTGTTGTTTTTTCCCTTGAGACAGAGTCTCACTCTGTTGCCCAGGCTGGAGTGCAGTGGCACGATCTCGGCTCACTGCTGCCTCTGCCTCCCAGGTTCAAGTGATTCTCATGCCTCAGTCTCCTTAGTAGCTGGGACTGCAGACACGTGCCACCACGCCTGGCTAATTTTTGTATTTTTAGTAGAGATGACGTTTCATTGTGTTGGCCAGGCTGGTCTCAAACTCCTGACCTCAGGTGACCCACCCTCCTCAGCCTCCCAAAGTTCTGGGATTACAGGCATGAGCTACCACGCCCAGCCACTGGTTGTGTTTTTAATGACTTATCTTTCTGCTGGTTATAAAGTACATTTACCTGCTTCTTGGCATGTCTGGTAATAGCTCAATATTGTGAATGTTACATTGTTGAGTGCCTAGATTGTGTTGTCTTCCTTTAAAGAACACTGAGCTTTGTTCTGTCAGGCAGTTAAATTATGTATGGGTTAGTATGATCCTTTTGCCGTTTGTTTTTAAGCTTTTCTTAAGTGCATCTAAACTAGAGTAATCTTCATTTCAGGGTAGTTCAGCCTCACTCTTGAAGTATCCGATTTCTGGGAAATTTACTAATTACCGTGACAGATCACTGAGGACTCGACTCTGACTGGTTGAAGTTTCAACGTCTCTTTACTTTCTGTGAGCTTTGGGTCGCTCAGCCTATTATTCTGTGATTCTTATTTTTTCATCTTTGTAAAGTTTCACCCTTTGAGAACCTTACAGAGATATTTAGGTATCTTTTTCTACATTGCTTTCTCTTTTCCAATGTTCTAGCTACACTTGTAGATACTTCAGTCTCCTTGAACTTTGATCTCTATTTTTTCCATTTAGCAAGATCGCCAGGCCCTTTTTGTTTTTCCCTTTCCTGTACCAATGGTTTGAAAACTGTCACTAGGTAGAGAGCCAGGAAAATTGTAGTATTCACTTCATTTATTTTTCATCTCTCAGGTATCATATTCTGGCACTTCCTAGTGTCTGAAGTCTGAATACTGTTAGTCAATCTATTTTGCCAGGCTTTATAGTTGTTTATGGTGTTTTTTTATGCTCTTTTATATACAAAAATGGAAGGAAACCCCATACTTTCCATATGTATTTTAAATTTTTATAAAGTATACTATGATTGAGCATTTTCACAAGACACTTTGAATTTTCAACTTTCTGAATCTCATATAAAATACTGAATTTTGTATTTCTGTCATGCCAAATAGCTAATAAATCATAGTCTTTCTCTTTTTAGTAGAGCAATTCCATTGCAGGAAAGAACAAAGAAGACTTTAAAGTTAATCCTTGCATGATATCTGAACAACCTACAACATGTTTCTGCTTCATTGGTAGCTTATATTTGAATGCCTCCCAGAAGAAATCCCATCCCATGATAGAACACTCAATTACGAAGTGCCTTCTTAAATTGGCCTAAATTCTTTCCTCTTATACTTTCTAATATCTGGCCCTTATGTTAGCCATTGGAATCATTCAGAATTTAATTTTTTACATCATTCGCATCTGATTTGTATTCAAATCAGAAGTGAAGTAGTGTATACAGAATGATGTATGAGTACGGCCCTCAAGTTCCCTAGCCATTCTCTAGTCCAAATTAAGCATTTCCTGGTCCTTCAATTATTTCTCCTATGACATGACTTAGTTCATTCCAGACCACTTTGGCTGCTCTGTTTTAGACACACCTTGTGGAAATTATCAATGGCTCCATTTGTTTAAATACCATGCATACTACTCACAGTCAACAAGCATATGTACAGGCAGCCCATAGCAAACAAAAAGCATGTCTTTCCCATGTATCCAAATTTGGTATACATTTTCTCACTCTCCCAAATCAGGATCTATGTAGAGCTCATTTTATTAGCTCCAAAAAATTATTGGCATGGGACAAATTATTGGGAACCTCTAGGTTCCCAAGACTGTTGAATCTTCAAACATTAAAATGGGAAGGGAGTGAGGCAAATTATTCACATGGCGTAAACTCAGTGGAAACCTAACATAGTTCAGGTCGCAGATGGGAATTATTCTTGCTGAGTTGTAAATTAGTGACATAGCAGTTAATGTGCACGATTGGCTTTTACTAGATCCCTTTACACTCCTTAGAGTAGACAGTGGAAGTTGACAATGCATCTAGAGACAATATGGTCTGTAGTCACTAAATCAGCACCCAGGCTGTGTTGACATGTGCTTGAGTAGAATAAAACAGTGCTGGATACGGCCTCGTCTCTGGTCTGTGTGGCCTCTCCAAATTCGATCTCTAAACAATCCTTGAGACCCACTGCCCTTCTTGCATTTTTTTTATCCCCTTTGTCTCTCTTTTTCTTCAACCCTCCCCCACCCAAAATATCTAGGTTCCACATTCTAAAGTTTCTCTTCTATTTTATATTCTTTCAAAAATCTCTTATCTATGCTAAGTTATTCTTATTTCCTTGAGTACTCTTTTTGTTTTAATTTCTGCTTTGCCATCTTATAATGGTGAAGGATGATTTGCTATTGACTGAGGCATGCTCAACATGACTAATCATTAGGGAAATGCAAATGAAAACTACAGTGAATTATCACTTCACGCTTCTCAGGATGACCACTATAAAAACAAACAAACAAAAAAAACCCCCCACAAACTGCCGGTCATGGTGGCTCACATTTGTAATCTCAGCACTTTGGGAGGCTGAGGCAAGGAGGATTATCTGAGCTCAGGCATTTGATACCAGCCTGGGCAACATGGCGAAATCCCATCTCTACAAAATTTAGCCTGGCATGGTGATTCATACCTGTGATCCTGTCTACTCAGGAGGCTAAGGCAAGAGGATCACCTGAGCCCAGGAGGTGAAGACTGCAGTGAGCAGTGATTACACTGCAGCACTCCAGGCTGGGTGGCAGAGCAAAACCTTGTCTCAGCAAACAAACAACAATAACAACAACAGAAAATAAGAAGTGTTCACAAACATGTGGAGAAATTGTAAGACTTGTGCACTGTTTGTGGGAATACAATGCAGATGTGTTCAGCCACTATGGAAAAGAGTATGGAGACTGCTGAGAAAAGTAAAAATAGAATTACCATATGATCTAGTAATGATCTGTTGCACAATGACGTGCATTTGGTTAATGCTACAGTACTGTATACTTAAAAATGGCTAAGATGGTAAATCTTATGTTGTGTACTTCCTACCACAATAAAAAAAATACAGTGGATACATGTAGTAAGGGCATTTGACCTTTTTTTTACAAGGTGGTGCTGAAGGCAAAGAAGGAAGCTCCTGCCCCTCCTAAAGCCAAAGCCAAAGTGAAGGCTTTGAAGGCCAAGAAGGCAGTGCTAAAAGATGTCCACAGCCACAAGAAAAAAAAAGATCTGCAAGTCACCCACCTTCCGGCGGCCCAAGACACTATGACTCCCGAAGCCCCCCAAGTGTCTTCAAAAGACTGCCCCCAGGAAAAACAAGCTTGACCACTGTGCTATCACCAAGTTTCCACTGACCACTAAGTCTACCACGAAGAAGATAGAAGACAACAACACACTTGTGTTCATTGTGGATGTTAAAGCCAACAAGCACCAGTTCAAACAGGCTGTGAAGAAGCTCTATGACACTGATGTGGCCAAGGTCAACACCCTGATTAGGTCTTGTATTAGTCAGGGTTCTCTAGAAGGACAGAACTAATAGGATAGATGTATAAATGGGAGGAACTTTATTAGGGAGTATTGACTCACACGATCACAAGGTGATGGTCCCATAATAGGCCGTCTGCAAGCTGAGGAACAAGGAAGCCAGTCCAAGTCCCAAAACCTCAAAAGTAGGGAAGCCAACAGTGCAGCCTTCAGTAGGTGGCCGAAGGCCCAAGAGCCCCTGGCAAATCACTGGTGTAAGTCCAAGAGTCCAAAAGCTGAAGAACTTGGAGTCTAATGTTCAGTGGCAGAAAGTATCCCGCAAAGGAGAAAGATGAAGCCTGGAAGACTCAGCAAGTCAAGTCCTTCCACGTTTGTCTGCCTGCTTTATTCTAGCCATGCTGGCAGCTGATTAGATGGTGCCCACCTAGGTTGAGGGTGGGTCTGCCTCCCTCAGTCCACTGATTCAAATGTTAGTCTCCTTTGGCAACACTCTCCCAGACACACCCAGGAACAATAGTTTGCATCCTTCAATCCAGTCAAATTGAAACTCAATATTAACCATCACAGTCCTGATGAAGAGAAGGCATATATGTTCAACTGGCTCCTGATTACAATGCTTTGGATGTTGTCACCAAATTGGAGTCATCTAAATTGAGTGTGGATGGCTAATTCTAAATATATATAGCTTTTCACAAGAAAAGAAAACAAAAGAAAAGAAAAGAAAAGAGAGAGAGAGGAAGGAAGGAAGGAAGGAAGGAAGGAAGGAAGGAAGGCAGGCAGGCAGGCAGGCAGGCAGTTGAAACAGTAAGCAAAATTGACGGTCTTTCCTAGAGCTCATGTGGATGTTTTAATTCTATTGATGCCAGTGCTAGATTTTCCCATCAATGAATATGTCTTAAATAAAATCTTTTTTTCAGAGTGGGAGGCAGAGGGAATAAAAAGAGGGGGTTATAGTAACCATGATAGGGGCTCTAGAAATGAGGCTACAATTTAGCCATCAAACTAAGGCAGCTAGGTTTGCAGAACCAAAAATGCAAGTTGTACTATTGCAACTACAGTAGCCAGTGCTTTAGAAGTTTGAACATTAGATTAAAATCAACACCTTGACTTGAACTTGGAAGCTGACCAAGAGCCAGTGTAAATTAAAAAGCTAATGTCCTGAGCCGGAAGTCACCCAGCTGGCTTCAGAAGAAGCTGCACATTAAATTCAGGCAAAGGAATGCTTCCGTGTTATCCACAAAGTGAGCTGTACCTTATGAGGTTAATATTGCTGTGACAAGTCTAAAAGTCACTAAGTGTGGCCACAGACACACACACACACACACACACACATACACACATACATACATGGTTCTATAGTCACATGAGAGGATTCTGCGGTTTCTGCCCATATGGCATACATTTCTCCCTCATCTCGTAAGAGCATCTGATTTTTATGTGGGGGAATCACAAGTCCTAGTCAAAGTGGTTGGGATGGTGCTGACCCACCCTAAGACTGAGCTAGACAGACAACCTAGGTCTTGTCAGATAATTTCTTCCTGCTGGTCACAGAGATGGGTTAGCAACTGCACATAATCCAAGCCAGGCTTACTAGTGTTATTTATCACTAGGGTTTAGAGAAAGTCCTTTCTATTTTAGCACAAGTGACTAGCAGGACAGGTAGGAAAATGGACAGCCCATTTAGGAAGGGAATTACTGAGAAAGATACCCTTCTTCTGCTGCAGTTACTAAGCTGAAAGAACTAAGTTTCTAGAAGCCATTCTAGAGACAAAGAGTGAAACAGAACCGAGGGGTGGAGTTACTTTCCAGACGATACTTTGCAAAATCCTGGATGCAGGTGTGCTCATAAAAACCCTTTAGGCCTAAGTCAGTTTGCATTGGTAGTCTATTATTTACAGCAGGAAGAGGCCTGAAAATAACACTGTACCCAGTTAAATGATTCTATAGACATTTTCTCTTCTTACTATGTCTATATCTAATATTCTCACCTGATCTGTAAGTTCCCTGAGGCCCCTTCGAAGGACTCAATCTCCTTTGTTACTTATCATAACACATAGTACTATCCCTGGGACATAATAGATGCTCAATAAATAATTGGTGATTAAGTCCTCTCTTCCTCAACCATCCTCTACTATTTCTGCATTTGGGACTCCAAGGTTCTAAGTGGAGTATATACTAGTGAGTGTATCCAGTAGTTTATTTGTTTGTTTGTTTCCTTTTTCATGAAACTCAGTGTGTGTTTTTAGAAAATGCATGAAGTTTTTGTTTTGTATTAAAACCAACCCTCCACTCTCAAACACACACATACACAAGAACAAAAGCAGCCTCTTCAGACATCTCTATATCTCAGTACGCTCATTAGGAGTGTTTAATTATAAGCTGCTGGAGTTTGAATTACCACTCATTAGCTATGTGACTTGAGTAAAGCATGTCACCTCCCTGTGACTTAGTTTTCTTATATGTAAAGTTGATTCGTAACAGACTTCACTTCATCACATTATTGTGATGAAATAATACTTCACATTATTGTGAGTGAAGTCATTAAATACATATGAAATATTTAAAACAGTGCACAGAGTAGGTTCTCAACAAACGCCAGATTTATATTGTGGATAAATGTAAGGATGAGTAAAGACTTTTCTTCATAGGGAAAGAAAATCCCTCCAAATGATAGATGAATAGAACAAACAAGCAAAACAAAACAACAAATGAAAACATTTCATTTTTTTCTCACAGGTGCCATGTTTATTTTTCTCTGATGATTACTTAAAGGAATTGTAGAAACCATTATTGGTGGAAACTGAATACATTTTTCTCATTGATCAGGTAGCAAAATGGTACTCACTAGGGTTTAGAGAATGTCCTTTTCATTTTAACACGAGTGACTATCAGGACTGGTAAGAAAATGGACAGCCCATTTAGTCCAGATAGTTACTCCATAAGCGCCAGCTCCATGGCTGCCGACAGACTAGGAAAGAGCCTGTGCCACTCTGAACCTTACTTGGCTCAGTCTTGGGCATTGATCATATATTGCAGTGGAGCTTTGCTGCTGGAACTCATTAAGAAGGAACCACTAAGAAGGAGCTAATCTGCCTTTTCCTGAACTGATCCCATCACCATCACTGCCTCTTTCCATTTGCCCCCAAACTTGTACTTTCGTTTTTGCTGTCTCCCTACTTGTTTTCAAAGCCAGTGCCTAAATTTCCATTTCTCTACTTCTCCCCCATTTGTTTTAACAGGAAGAAACCATTTAAAAATTGGAGAAAGGATGTAAGATTTTTCCAGGAGAGACCATAGAATAGGCAGTAGTGTTCAAACTTAAAAGTGGACCACTTTTTTTTTTTAAAGGGGAGAAAAAGCTTTCCAAATCTCGGAGAAAATATTTTATATCCTAAAATAAGAATCATTGATTGGTAGGGAAAATTTAGGGACATAAGATTCTTCTAGTTAAAATTATGGCTTTGCTCATTATTGAGGTACAGCTTTGGGAGGGTGACGTAGCTTCCTTGAGCCTCAAACTCCTGGTTTGTAAAATGAGGATATAGTAAGGACTGTCTGAGAGGATGGTTGTGGTGACCAAATGTGTTAGCATGTGAAGAGGGTATGAGTTGCTAGACAAGCAGCAATTTTCTTTTCCCCTCTTTCCTTACATGCTTTCTCCTTAGTGAAAGACAGTAATTTACCTAAGAATAAATTTGATTAACTTCAAACTCTGCATTCCATCCTAGAATTCTCCAGAACTTCTAAATGATTTTTTTTAATTTGCACATATTAAGGTTCATTTTTTGTGTAGTAAAGTTCTGTGGGTTTTGAAAATTGCATAATGTTATTTATTCACAGTTATAGTGTCACAGAATAGTTCCACTGTTCTATTCAGCTCTTCCTCTGTTTCTTCAGAACCCCTTGCAATCAGTTTTTGATGACAGTGAAATAAGCTACTATAAACATTTGTGTGCAGGTTTTTGTGAGGACATCAGCTTTCAACTCACGATTGAAATACCTAACAGTATGATTTTTCAAACACATCGCAAGACTGTGTAGAGCTTTTTAAGAAACTGGCATTCTTCCAAATGGCTGTCTTATCTAGTGGACCCCCCAAGGAGTATATGATTCCATAGGAGTGTGAGTCTTTGAATGACTTTGGCTGTGTGGCAGACAGACTCTAAGGTATATCACAATAGTACACAACTCTGGTATTTGTGTCCTCGTGTAATTTCTTCCCCTTGAGTAATCATGGATCTGTGACTTGCTTCTACTCTCACCAACAGAATATAACAAAGCGATGGGATGTCACTTCCATAATTACTTCATGTTATATACATCTGCGTCTTGCTAGCAGACTTGCTCTGGAGGATCTCCTTGCAGGATTAATGAAGTAAGTGACCATATAATTAAAACTCACATGGGAAGGAATGGGGATCGGTCTACAAGAATTTCAGGTGGCCTTTTGGAGCTAAGGACAGCCTCTAGCTGACAGCCAACAAGAAGCAAGGTCCTCAGTTCTACAACTGTGGGAAGATAATTCT
This sequence comes from Homo sapiens, assembly GCF_000001405.40. Lineage (NCBI taxonomy): Eukaryota > Metazoa > Chordata > Mammalia > Primates > Hominidae > Homo > Homo sapiens. The sequence goes on from NC_000010.11 coordinate 106,554,998, forward strand.
GCTGACAATCTGAGCTTGGAAGTAGATGCCTCTCTGGTTGATCCTCTGTGTGATAACCTAGCCCTGGTCAACACTTTGATTGCAGCCTGTTAAGACAACTACACAGAGGAAATAATTATGCCCATATGCCTGGCCCAAGGAAACTGAAGTTCAATTTTCATTGTCATCTGTCTTAACATCTTAGTGGTTTACTCATTAATTAGTGAGTTAAGTAAAATATTTGACACTTGTTAATTTGATGTTGTATTAGTTAGAATTCTCCAAAGGAACAGAACTGATAAGATGTGTATAAATATGGAGGGAGGTTTATTATAAGGGATTGGCTCCTACAACTATCAAGCCTGGAGAGTTGAAAATCTGCAGTGTGGGCCAGCAGCCAGAGACCCAGGAGAGCCAAAGGTGCAGTTCCTATCTGAAGGTAGTTTGCTGGATAATTCCCTCTTGCTCAGAGAGGCCAGTCTTTTTATTCTACTTAGGCCTCCAACAGATTGAATGAGGGCTGCCCACATTTTGGAAGAGAACCTACTTACTGAAATTCACGAATTTAAGTGTTAATCTCATTCCAAAACACTCTCCAAGTTGACACATAAAATTAACCGTGACAGATATTTATATGAGACTGAAGATTTTTTTAATAAATTATCTTTTAACAGAAGGGTAAGAAGTGTTAGCAGCCGTGTTGAAGTGTTGCCATTTCAGAAAACTTCACTGAGATATAAGTGAGAGGACAAGCCCTGTGGGAAATCAGAACATTCCAGGAAGAAGTGCAGGGGCCTGGTGTAAGAGTGCACTTCTCTAAAAGACAGGCAGGAGGCTAGTGTGGCTGGCACAGTGAGAGCACAGGACAGAGGAACAGGGATGGAGGTTGGAGCTGTAACAGAGCGACAGATCATAGGCCACTGAAAAGATGAAGGATGTAGGGTTGTAATAGAGTGAAATGGTGAGCCATTTCATGGTATGAACAGAGAAATAATGAGTTAATTTTGCAATATGTTTTTTTGATATAATTTCAATTAAAATAGGCCTTAATGGCAAAAAGTCAGGTACTATTTCAGGAATGTCTAAGATGCCATTTGAACTGCAGTTCAAAGTATTTAAGTAAATTATCGAAGATCACAAAGGTAGTAAGTGAAGGAGACAGGTCTGTTTCTCTTTTCCCTATGATATGCTGTCATCCCAGTCACTCTCAGCAGGAATCATCAAATTAGTCTAGGTAGCAAAAGACCAAACTTCTCTTTTCTTTTCGGTGAGCTCAGGACTAGGATTTGTATGCAGTGATGAAAGCCACTTCTGCCTCCTACTAATGGTCTTTGGCTTAAAAATGTCAGCTTGTTCATTTTCCCAGATTTCAATCTACTCAGTGATATAACGAAACAGGTTTTTTCCCCCTTTCCTTCAGTCAAGAGGATAAGAAATATTTCTCTGGATAATGCTATTACAATATTCAACAGCAGCTCTCTGGAGAGAAAGGATAATTCAAAATCTTAAATAAGATATTCAATTTGAGATTAGTTAAGTGGTTATTTGGCTGAAAGGGATTTGACAAACAAGAAGCACTTCTCTATCTTCAGGTAAAGGAAATATTCAGTTGGATTTAATTAGCAGTGGGATTTTTAAAAATGAGGATTCTAAGACCAAGTGCAAAATACGGCTCTGTGATTCCCAAGTATATTTTCTCAGAGATCGTAGTTAATATACAGACTGTAGTCATGCATTTTATTAACAGTTATGGTCTTGATCAATTCATTTTAAAATCACACAGCTTTCAAGTCTGGTAATTTTAGGCTTGGAAGAACATACATCATGAATAAATGTTGGCACTGAGTTTCTTTAGAACTCCCCGGTAAGCATATTCAGCCCTGGCATGGCAGAAATACTTGCAGGTTAAAGTGAGCCCTTGTCTTTGGATTGTCTTTGTGAGGATTTCTTCATGGGGTCTGATGGCTCAAAAACAAGGATACCATTGATCAAAATCTAAATGATGATGAAAATTACACAAGTTCTAACAGTGGGAGATAGTGAGTAGCTAGTTTTGCACTGTGAATATTTTACATGTTCTAAGTGTGGGAAGACCTAGGCCACTTCCTCATTTGTCCTTTTGTCCCCCACTATTCTTATCCCTGGTGTGGAAGAAGGCTTTAAGTATGACATATCAAAATTCTACTCTGAGAGACAGTGGGTATTAGAAAGTAAGAGGCTTGCTTGTTTTTGCAATACTTCATCCATGAAGAATGTGAGCATTTAATGCAAAAGATTCATAATGGAAAAATGTAGCTGCTGTGAGGTAAAGTCATCCCCAAGGAAAAAGTGACAGAAAGGAAGGGAGAGACAAAAGAAGGGAAATGTGAACTCTGGATGGCTATGTGAACCCCAGGTGTCCCTGTAACATTGATGGGGGAGGCAAGAGGGTAAGACAAAAAAAGATTTTCTCTGGCTTCTGAAAATTATGGGGCTTATGGAAAGCTTTCTGAGACACTATCATGCTTTTCCACATTTATAGGGCATAAGTGTATGTTAACGTTTATTTTTTGTTGTTGTTGTTTTGAGATGGAGTCTCACTCTGTTGCTCAGGCTGGAGTGCAGTGGCACGATCTCAGCTCACTGCAACCTCTGCCTCCTGGGTTCAAGCAATTTTCCTGCCTCAGCCTCTCAAGTAGCTGGGATTACAGTTTCCCACCACCACGCCCGGCTAATTTTTGTATCTTTAGTAGAGATGAGGTTTCACCATGTTGGCCAGGCTGGTCTCAAACTCCTGACCTCAGGTGATCTGCCTGCCTCGGCCTCCCAAAGTGCTGGGATTGCTGGCGTGAGCCACTATACCAGGCCCATATTTGTTTTAAGTTCAAAAGAATGCCTTACATATAATATAAGGCTTAGAAGATGAACATATGCATTTATCTTTCAATTCTTCCAGTGATGTACTGTAGCCAGCTCATAACGGCTTGTGAGAACTGATGGCTAAGTTTTTCTGGAACTTGTGAGGCAGTTATTAACCATGGGTAGCTTGAAATTGGCCATGGTAGAAATATTTACACACTGGAATCCAGCAAATGGTACACATCAGGGTTTCCACCCACTCACCCACATGGAGAGCCAGCTGTTAAACCTTTCTCAGCACACTACTGAGGTTTTCCTCTCACTGCTCAACTCCATGCCATGTGTTTTTCTTCACTTCCCATCCTGCTTATAACCTTCTCCTAGATACCACAGACAGCACAATCTCTGAACACACTTGTCCCCACACAGTCCAGCTCCTTCCTGACCTCTCACAACATTCGGCACTGCAAACTGACCTCATCTTCCCTTTCCTCCTGCTATCATGTCCCGTGCAATTCTGAACTCTTTTCTTGATTCCTTTCAAAAATTCTGGTTTTTTCCTCCTTCTTGCAAATGTATCCATTTTTCAAGAGGCTAAACTGAACCGTCTTCCTTCCTTCCCCTTTGGCCAAGCCATTCCTTGCCGAGTTTATATTATTGCTTATTTATATTATTGCTCATCCCCTATTTTTCATGGTTCAGTTCCAGGTTAGTATTTCAACAGCCTGCTAGATGTTTGCACATGGGAGGGCCACTGATATTACAAAGTCAATCTTTGCAGAAGCAAACACATTATCTCTCTGTGTCTCCTCAACATGTCCTCTAACTTCTTTATTCTTGCCAACGACGCCATCATCTGACCAGTCCCATATACCCTATCTGATGACGACAGATAGTTTAAAAATAAGAAAATTTTGAATAGTTCTTAACATCTAATTTACTGAAAGTCTTGCTAAAAATAACCCTCATAATTTATCCTCATAAATGTTTCTCCTGACGTTCCTCTTCTTCAACACACTGCCTTAGCTGAGGTCTCCTTGTTTGGCCTCTTTACCATTGCACCAGACTTCTGATTTGTTTTCCTGCCCCAAATATCCTCTGGAATGGGAGGCACCAGATGTAAGGTAAAAATCCCTAAGACATTCCAATGATAAACCATCTATATTGGTCTTATTAATAATTCATGTCCCTAAATTCTTTGTTATCTCCCCCTTCAAGAGTTGGAGCCCAGTTCCTTCCTCTGACTCCTGCCCCTGCCCATGTTTGAGAGTAGGCGGGACTTAGTGACCCACTTCTTTTTTTTTTTTTTCCCTTGAGACGGAGTCGGGGTCTCACTCACTGGGCTCACTGCAACCTCCGCCTCCCGGGTTCAAGCGATTCTTCTGCCTCAGCCTCCCGAGTAGCTGGGACTACAAGCACATTCCACCATGCCTGGCTAATTTTCTGTATTTTTAGTAGAGACGGGGTTTCACTGTGTTAGCCAAGATGGTCTTAATCTCCTGACCTTATGATCTGCCCACCTTGGCCTCCCAAAGTGCTGGGATTATAGGCGTGAGCCACCACGCCTGGCCAGTGACCTATTTCTAATAATAGAATAGAGCAGAAGTGACAGGGTGCAACTTCAGGGACTAGGTCATTAAAAGCATGAGGCTTCCTCCTCATTCACTTTCTCTTGGAACGCTCTAGGGGAAGCTATGTCATGAAATGGCATGAAGACATTTAGGCAGCCTGTAGAAAAGCCCATGTGGTGAGGAACTAAATGTTCCAGTGAAAGCCATGAGATTGAGCTATCTTGGGGGATCCTCCGGCCCACTCAAGTCCTCCTACGATTGTAGTACTGGCCAACAGTTTGACCACAGCCTCATAAACCCTTGAGTCAGAATCACCTAGCTTACTCACTTCTGGATTTCTACCTCTTTGAAACTGCAGAAGTAACAATGTTTGTTTTTTTAAGCTGCAACATTCTGGGGCAATATCTTATGCAGTGATAGATAACTAATACACCATCCATCTTACACTCTGCTCCAAAGTAAACTTTAAAAGCAGAGTTCTGAGCATACCATTTCACTGCTAAAAACTTCTAAAGGCTTTGGAATTGAATTTTCGTCTCTTGATAAAGACCTATCTTTTCAGTCTGTTAGTTAAGGCCTTCCATGATCTATCACCAACCCATCTCTTTAGCTTTATATCCCAAAATACTCTCTATTGCCATTGCTGTTTCAGCCAATCTGGAAGATGATCTATTCTCTGTTTAATATGCTCTTTCCTATCTTAATCCTGTTCCCAAAAGAAATGTAGTAAAGTTTTTCATGATGATCAGAGAGGCTTTTAGCTTCATCATTATTTGAAAACTTTTTCCTTAAGGAAATACAGACATGAATGCTTCTCTTAAGTACAGCAGAAGGATAGAGACTTAGAATGAAAGATGAAGAGAAGAATATGTTTTGGGTCAGCTGGGTGCGGTGGCTCACGCCTATAATCCCAGCACTTTGGGGGGCTGAGGCGGGCGGATCACTTGAGGTCAGGAGTTTGGGACCAGGCTGGCCAACATGGCGAAACCCCGTCTTTACTAAAAATACAAAAAATTAGCCGGGCGTGGTGGTGCGTACCTGTAATCCCAGCTACTCAGGAGGCTGAGGCAGGAGAATCGCTTGAACCCAGGAGGCGGATGATGCTGTGAGCCGAGATCGCGTGCCCCTGCTCTCCAGCCTTGGCGGCAGAGTGAGACTCCATCTCAGAAACAAAGAATATGTTTTGCGTCATCTGGTATTTCTGCAGATGAGGACACTGGAACAACTATTTTGGTTGGTCAGGAGCGTGACTCCGTCCTCTTTTCTGCTCCATCTCTCTATTGACTTTGGGCCCACTTCTTCCAGAGCTGCTATTTCTGAACTGTGTCAGGGTGTCCACCACTCTGGCTCTGCTTGACCAGGATGTATATGAAACCTCCCTGATATTAAAAAATTGTGCTCGATTTCATTCGTCACCTGGCTAGAGAAATTTATCTCTAATCCTTTTCTTTCTTTTCTTTTATCCGTTATATGTTTAAGTGCTGTTCTTCATGCTTTTACTTTGAGGAAAGTGTGCTTATGCAAAAACAGTTAACATTTTAAATTTTACTAAAAAAACAAAATTCTATCTCAGTCCTTAGGCACTAGTAGCTGCTTTAGCAAAGGCAGAATTTTGATTTCTCCTGCCTGGTGCTTTTGCGTTTACGATGGGGGCATCTCAAGTCCTGTTACACTCTGTCCATTTAATTTAGTCATGTGAGTAAATTGAGGCCTGTTCTTGCTAGACTCTCCCATGGGAACAGAATAGTTAGGCATGAGTCAGCCATCTGATATGCCTTTAAAGTAGGCAGTGACTTGTAAATGCTTCCATCCTCCTGAGGTGCCAAACCCCATTCAATTTTTTAATCTGGAAGATAAAAAAGTTATATTTTCTTCTTCAAGACTGTCACATAATTGTGTGACATTTCTTAGACAATGACAATCTACCAGCTTTCCTATATGAAAAAAGTGTATAGTCTGGGGTACTGACGACGTGTGCTGGGTAATTTTGTGTGCCAGCTTGGCTGGGCAGTAGTGCCCAGTTGTTTGGTCAAACACAGTCTAGATGTTGCCATGACAGCATTTTTTTTTCTTAGATCTTATTATCATTGAAATCAGTAGACTTTGAGTAAAGCAGATTACCCTCCATATTGTGGGTAAACCTCACCCAGTTAAACACCTTAAGAGAAAAGACTATGCTCCCGGGAGGAGGAATGAATTGTGTCTTAGGAATCAAGACTGCAACATCAACTCTTGTTGGGATTTGTAGCCTGCCAGCCTGTCCTGTGGATTTCAGTCTAAGGCCCCATTATCATGTGAACCAATTATTTAAAATATATCTCTCTCTATATGTATATATCCTATTGGTCTTGTTTCTCCAAAGAACCCAAACTAATACATGGCAATACTGCATTTATGCCATGTTTATCATCTATTAACTTAACCAACCAGGTATAAACATTTGTACTATTGTACTGCTACTAGCATTGCTTACTACTGCCACGGTTCCTAACCAGCATTTATTGACTGCTTAGTACATACCAGACCCTTCACTAAATATTTTCTGTAGATTATATTTTTAAACCACACGTTAACCATTTGAAGTTGCTGTATATTACATTTTATACAATTGAGTTGAAGGAGAAAAAGAAAAAATTTAAAAAAAGAGAGAAGAGGAAGGGCCAGGAAAGAAAAGAAAGAAAAGAAAACCTTGCTGGCCCACAACAATCCGTAAGAGGAAGATCCAGAACATTAATTCAGATCTAACTCCAAAAGGCATATTGGTAGCAGTACCCTGACCTTTGGTGCAGGACAATCCATTAGTAACTTGCGAATTGAGGCTCTGCCATTAGAGACTCCATGCACATTGATAAAAATCTCCTTTTGTAATTTCATTCACTGGCCCTACTACAGCAATTTCTAAGCAGCTGGCCATGGTGAGAAATGAGTTAATCCTGAGCTGAACAAATAAGAATGACTAGTTATTACCAAAAGGCAGTCTAGGAATCACATCTACAGAATGTCCTGCTTCTTTAGAATAATTGAAATATAGAAGAGTCACAGTCCATTTAGTTTATTTATGTGGCATCATTGGGCCGTCAAGGGTTTTACAAAAATAAGCCCTTTTTTTTCATTTAAAAATAACTGAAGCATTTCACTTTAAATGCCAGAAAGCATTTTAATAATTGTCAGTGGATCTTTAGAAAATATACTATACTCATGACACCTCCCCCACCAGAAAAAAAAAAGACTCAACATAATTCAAATGATCTTTCTGAAGTAGAACCACCATTATGACCATATACCTTTTGTTCATAGAGACACCTTCCAGGACTGCTTACATATTTAAGACTTTTTTATTCCTTCATTAAAGTGCCTTTGATGTCTTGGATTTTATACATTTCTCTGCCTCTTATAACTTTATTTTATTTTATTTTATTTGAGACACAGTTTTACTCTGTCATCCAGGCTGGAGGGCAGTGTCACGATCTCGGCCCACTGCAAGCTCTGCCTTCCAGATTCAAGAGATTCTTGCTTCAAGAATCCTGCCTGAGCCTCCCAAGTACCTGAAACTACATGCACATGCCACCACGCCCGGCTAATTTTTGTATTTTTAGTAGAGACAGGGTTTTGCCATGTTGGCCAGGCTGGTCTCGAACTCCTGACCTCAAGTGATCCACCTGCCTTGACCTCCCAAAGTGCTGGGATTACAGGCATGAGCCACCTTACAGACCTCTTACAACATTTTGATTACCTTATGCTATCTGCTGGTACCTCTCACCAATGTCATCAGCAGTCCTTATTGCTTCTATGCAGTGTATTTAAATCCAAAACCATTATGTTTACCAACACCTTCTTTTCAAAGAGAATTGTTATACTTCCGGCTCCAAATCTCACATTTAACTCCTTTATTTCTGGTTTCTAGTGCTTAACATATTACCAAATTTTCCTGATGCCACTTCCTCTAATTATTCTTTTTTCAAAATTTTATTTTTAGTTGACATGTAATTGTACACAATTTAATTAATTCTTATGTGACATATTCATACATACAATTTTCAGACAAGATTTATTAAAGTGTAAGCATTCTCCTCTCTTCCCTTCATCTAGTTGTTTAAAAGGAACCTTTTGGAATGAAGAATCAGGTGAACGGGTAGAGACTAGACCAGAGAGTAGATTTAAGCAGCAATCTAAACTGATTTACACAATAAAAAACCCAGGAAGGTGAGTGCAGGCCGAAGTGGAAGATAAAGAAAAAGCTGGAGGAGCACAGGTTTGACTGAGACTCCCAAGCAGTTGTGAGGGGAAAACTGGGAGGTGTAGAAAAAGGTGCTTTTGAGAATTGTTGCTGGAGTTATGAATCACGTCCCTAGCAATATTCCTTGAAAGATGCAAGTGAGGGTTAGAGATTTTTTTATTACTAGCTGATGACTAGATGGCTACTTTTAAAGTTATACGCTTCAGAGACTGTCCTGTGATTCAGTATTCAGATTGTGTTTGTTGGATGAGTGAATAGACTCATAAACAAATGCTTTCTTTTTCTCTTCCTTTTCAATTATTTATTTATTTGTTTATTTTTGAGACAGGGTCTCACTTTGTCACCCAGGCTGGAGTGCAGTGGAGCAATCACAGGTCACTACAGCCTCGACCTCCCCTGGCTCAGGTGATCCTCCCACCTCAGCCACCTGAATAGCTCAGACTACAGGTGTGCACCATCACGCCTGTCTAACTTTTTCCCCGAGACAGGGTTTCACCATGTTGCCCAGGCTGGTCTCGAACTCCTGGGCTCAAGCAGTCCGCCTTCCTCAGCCTCCCAAAAGGCTAGGATTACAGGCATGAGCAGCCATGCCTGGCCTCAAATGCTTTATTTTTCATGGGTTGAGAGACATCTCATGGCTTCAAACCATGGATTTTGTGGAAGTTATTTTTCTCACAGTTCTTGAACTTTTTTCTACTCATTCTAAGGATCTTGGCTGTGTTCTGCATAGAAGGGGATAGAGGAAGGTACCATGGAGAAAAGAACCATGACTAGCAATGTGGCTTAGGAAAGAAGATGCAGGAGTCTTTGCTTTGCTGTTAACTTATGTGTTCATGAAGAAATTGTTGAAACTTGATCATATGAGGTGTTGGTCAAGTCGATGGTCTAGCATGATGCATAGCACATAATCAGCACTCAAAAATACTTAGAGAATTACTTCTAATTTCCCTTTGAGCCCTAGAATTCTGTGCATCTATGATTCTAGCGAAGCAGTGCTGACTTGATTCTTAATATGGATATCCTCTGAGCTCTGAAAATTAGAACTCACGCTGAGTTACTTTCTGCCTCTGCTTCCCAGGAGTAGATGGCAGTCCCATTTGTAATGCCTCTGAAATTATGCAGAGTGGGCTGCTGTAATATGCTTAATAAACCATCCTGGCATCGCTTTTGTTTTGTTCCTACCACACATTCTACCAAAAAGAGCACATCTGCATATACACAAAGTACACAATCCTGCTGGGTTCATCAAAAAGTTTCATCTGCATAAGAGTTCAAGGCAAGTTGGTTACATGTTCACTTATTTTATTTGTTGTCCCCTAAAACTATGCAGAACTAGGACCAAGTCAGTGTTGATAACAAAGGAAAAAACGATAATGTGGAAAATGTGGAGGGAAAGAAAGTGCAGATAAAAAATTCATTTGAACCTGATAACAAACGGGTGGTTGCTTTTATGTAGGTGGCCCTTCTTCATGCCAGTTTTGAGGGACTGTCAAAGAAGCTCTGAAATTACTAATCAATCCCCAGAGAATTTGGAGGAACTGGAATCCACTGTGTCCCAGAACCAGTGCCACCAAAGATTAAAGTATGTTACGAGTCACCAGTTCAATCTGGGAGGTTAGGATGCTTTTAGATGTGGGTCTGGTGTGCCTGAGATTAGCTCTGAACGCATATTTTTGGTGAATCTCAGCTATTACTTTGTCTTCACTGCATGGCTTAGATGTGGGGACCTGGCCTTTGCCTCAGTTTTTTGCTGAGACTCCAGATACCTGACAATGGCCCCTTGAACCCAGATGCCCTGATTTGTCTCTGCCACCTTCTGTCCTACAGAGTTAGCCTTTGCCTACCTCCCATCCCAGGTCCCTTATTCATAACAGACTGATATTGATTATTGTGGATACCCAGGGACCACCTGGCTTACAACCACCAGCTAGATTGCTGACATAATCACTGATTGGAATCTTGAGGTAATGTGTTTCGCCTGTGGGCTTGGGCCCAGCACAGTCCATTAAATCAGACGCTACATGAAATTCAACAAGCAGTCTCTCCGATAGGTCAGTCCTTCTGCCCCACCAGTCCTCTCCTGCCTTGCTTTCTTATTCCTTCCCACTTGAGTTTCAAAATGCCTCATGACTCATCAGGACATCCCAAACCAGTTCTTTGCTGTTTGCAATAATACTGTGGGCTCTCATCAGTTAACAAAAACAAACAAACATACATATATATATGAACAAAACCAACCAAACCAAAAAAATGCTTAGTAAAATGTTTTCAGATATAATAGAGCCACAAGGCTTCATTCTGTATTAAAGAAATTTTCCACTCATGGGCCAAAGTGGAGAAGGAAGGTCTTGCCCTGCAATGAGGCCACTGAAGAGAAAATTCATGCATGAGCATGGGAATTCCGTAGGGGATCCCATCTCTAATAGGTTAAGCCATATCTATATATATGGCTTATATGTAGCACTCTGGGTGCTGTATGAGCTGCTGGGTTTCGGATGACTTAGTGTTGGTATTTGGAAAATACTTACTCTATATCCACTTGTTTACTGAAGTGAGTAGCAAATATCAGTTCTTTAGTTCAAGAGAGCTTAGACGGCCCACCTCCCCTGTGTACCATATCAACTAAGGTCGAAAGGAATAAGTCTCTATTTGTGTAATTCAAAGTGGGGCTGAGGCAGAATCTGGTATATGCATTTACAAGAATAGCTCTTTTCCTCGTGTAAACTCTTTCCAACAACCACATTTGGAGCAGAGAACTGCATGAGCATGCAGTTTTGTTGTTTTGAACCATCTCTTATTTGCGGCTTACCTGTAGGAAGACTGGAGGAGTGTATGGGTAGAGTGAAAGAGGATTAGGAATCATGGGTTGAAATTCTGACTTTCCTAGTTTACTGGCCATGTGATCTTAGACAAGTGAATTGAACTTTCCAGACTGATGTTTCCACATTATAAAATAAACATACCTACCTTAAAGTGTTTGCAGGTTTTAAATCATGTATTCCTTTTTCCTTATAACATAGTGAATGTACCACAAATCACCACCTTTAACTCTTCTCCTTTCCTATAGCCCATTGCCCTCTACTTATATCAAACTACTGATTCTTCTGTCTATCTCAACACTGTTTAGACTATATTTGTGTAAATTCAAGAGGCTAAAAAGATATATTTACAGTGCATTTGGAAATAACATCTAGAATGATGCACTAAACAAACAAAATAACTTTCCGATTTGTCTGCCATATTAAAACAAACCAAATCTGCCCTCCTAGATATCCTAGAAGCAATGTCAGTTTGTTTCTATAGAAAAATCCCATCTCAGGTCAATTATTTCCCATGTGCTTGCCAGTGTAGTACTTTAACCAGAGAGAGAGATTTTACCAACTTACATCTACCCTCCCTCTCCAGATGCCCAGATTTGATTCCATAAATCCCTATGGACATCTATTAAATCCCAACCAGGAGAAAAGCTCTGCAGAGCAAGAAGGAAGAACTGAATCTTTTTCTGGGCATTCTTCCAGACAGAAACTTGGCTGCGCATGTCACTAAGGACAACTGTGTCTGCCTTGCTTTTGTGCCATCTGAAATGCAGCACACTGGAGAATTTGGAAAACAGTCTCCGTTGTATTGAGCAGTTTTCTGATTTACTCGAGCACGTAAGTGGGCTTTGATGTGGAACAGATCCAGTGGGGTTTCTAAGTTTCCCAAGCTTCAGGCCCACCTAGTTTTCAAGTCTTCTTGAGCCACTCTTTGAGTTAGCTCAACCCTTCAATTATTATATACCCCAAAGAGGAGATTGACATATTATTCATCTTTTAGGAAAAAATACGGCGCAGAAGAAAAGCGAGCATTTTGGTGTCATACAGACCTCCTACTCCATGATCATGATGAACAAGTGAATCACTTCAGTTCTCCAAGCTCCACTTTCACCAAATGTAAAAGAAGAAAACCATTCCTACTTCGAGAGTTTGTGTGGATTAAATGAGATAATGGGTACACAGATGACACATTATATTCAAAATGGTAGCTGCTTTACTATTTTTTCATCATTCGTATATTTTTCACTCACAACTTCCTCATTCTACACTTTTGCTTCATTCACATCTTTTATTTTTAGGTAACGTTTAACTGTGCGCTTGGGAATTAAAATCTTGGTAGCCTTTGCCCCTTTGCACTTAGTGTTCACATGTGCTCACACCAGTGTTTTTGGCCCTGGACTTTTCACTGAGACTTTGGTTCACTCACAACCTGACTATCAGCATTGCTTCTGTGCCCTAGCCTTGGCCAATGAGAACCTCCTGCCTCCAGTTATTCGGCAGACACTTGGTGAGGCTAGTCTCTGTCATTTGTCAAGTGTGTGTGTATGTATGTATGTATGTGCATGTGAGGTATTATATCTTGGTGCTGTTATTAAGTAAGGTTGGCATTCTTCTTGTGGCTGAAGGGTGTTAAGGAAAGTGAGTGGCTGCTGGTTAGGCAATTAAGAAGGTTGCTACACAAGTTACAGCAAGGGTATCTTCCAGCAGGTTTGCATCTTCTCCCCTAGAAATAACTCTTCTGCCTTCACTTCTCTTGCTTACCCCAGTCATGATTACCGAGGAACAACAAAATCTTCAGACAGTATTGGTTTGCGATACTCAACACACAGTCAAGCAATGGGTCTAGGCCCATTAATAGCACATGTTTCTGTATGTTTATGAACCATAACTAACTACTATTACCATATTGTTGTTTTGTATCTATGCAAGAGTGTTTACTTCTATGTGTAGCTGCACATATCTAAATAATGTATAGGCTGGGCGCGGTGGCTTATGCCTGTAATCCTAGCACTTTGGGAGGCTGAGGCAGGTGGATCACCTGAGGTCGGGAGTTCAAGACCAGCCTGACTAACATAGAGAAACCCCGTCTCTACTAAAAATACAAAATTAGCCAGGCGTGGTGGTGCATGCCTATAATCCCAGCTACTCGGGAAGCTGAGGCAGGAGAATCACTTGAACCCGGGAGGCGGAGGTTGCAGTGAGCCGAGATCGCCCCATTGCACTCCAGCCTGGGCAACAAGAGTGAAACTCCGTCTCAAAAATAAATCAATAAAATAAAATAAAATAATGTATAAATATATATGTACACATATTTACCTTACACTTATACTGTAAAATGTTATTACATGCATGTATATATATCTGTATATATATGTCTGTGTGTACATGTATATTACATATATACACATGGATCACAAAGTTAAACTGTTTAAAAATTGTAAACATTTGAAATTTCATGAGTTAAACTGCAGGTGCCATAATTGCAAAATAATATTTGTATCTCAATATGAATTTAAATTGATACACATAAGGTAAAAAATTGTCTTATCTAGAGAAGTTGTTTTTAACTTATTAAAGGAATTTAAGTATATGCTGTCAACAATTATGAATTTTCCTATAACTTTTATATATTATTTACAATAATTACATAACTAACTTAATTAGCAAATATTAGAATATCTTAGAAGATATATAAACAAAGATCAAGGGAATTAAAACACCCATAGTTTTACAAGTTAGAAATAACCTGTGTTAGTATTTTTCATCTCGTTCTGTCCTTATTTTCTGTACAAATTATACTATGAAAGTCTTAAATTCTGCTTTCTCTTAACATCATGTGAAACATTTCTCATGTCCTTCTTTAGAAAAGAGTTTTAACGAAATTATATTTTATTATATGCATATATATTGATTGTTTGTTAACTAGTTTATACATAGTGCTTACTGAATCCTTTTTCTGCATCTACAAGCTGTTATTAATATTCACATAAAGAGAAAGATGTTATGAAAATAGAAATGCATATATTGAAATATTTTACTTAGTATTGTTTATAAAGTGTTTTATGATTATCTAGCGGCCTTGAATTTATTTTTAAACATTTCAAATCTTCAGCTGTTTTACTTTCCTTCAAATACTTCATAAATGTCTTTTTCACACCATGTTTTTTTGTTGGTTTGTTTTTGGAGACAGTCTTGCTCTGTTGCCCAGGCTGGAGGGCAGTGGTGCAATCTTGGGTCACTGCAACCTCCACCCGCCAGGCTCAAACGATTCTCATGCCTCAGCCTCCTGAATAGCTGGGATTACAGGTGTGCATCACCACACCCAGCTAATTTTTGTATTTTTATTAGAGAAGGGGTTTCCCCATGTTGCCCAGGCTGGTCTCAAACTCCTCGACCTCCCAAAGTTCTAGGATTACAGGTGTCATTCACTGTGCCCGGCCAGCCATGTTTTTCTTTAACAAGGGGTTCTAACCACAACTTAACATTGTTTGGGTCAAAGCCTGTTTCTAAATATTTGTTGCTGGGGTAGGTGGAAATTGGATGATGTTCTAAGGTCTGTGTAAGTGAATAGGGCTGCTGGTCCCTACACTGAAAGGTCTCAGGCTGAGGTGACAATTTTAATGAGGATTAGCACTATTTCCTTATCTTTTTCCTCTGCTGTCAAGTAGGGTTTCTTCCCTCTACCAGTACTTTTAAACTGCCACCTAAATTATAGTCAGTTCTGCTATCAAGCAGTTTTGAAAACATAAATTTGTTCTAATGTAATTGATATATTAAGGAAGAATTTGAGGATAATTCAAATGCTGTATTTGCTTATGCATGATTTTGTCAATGAGAAAAACTAGATGAATGCAGAAAACTGCATCCAGCTGAAATCAGCTGTGTAAAAGTACACAGAACACACACACACACCCCTCAAACATCTGCCGGCTGCGTCCACTTGCCTTGTGTGTTACAGCCACATTATCTGTATTTGGTATTGCAAATTTCTGTCTGATTTCAGGTAACTTCCCTTCTACCACTTCACAATAACTCACATGCTGTAGGCATTCCAACGCCCACTCTCATAAGCAAACTTCAAGTCTTTTTCAAGGTAAGTGTTTTGTGTATTTAACTATTCAGTGTGTGTAAAACTATGCTACCATTTTTATTCGGTTTGTACCTTTTTAAAAATGTGCCCGGAGACACATTACACTGAGATATGACAAAGTTTTTGTGTGTTGTGCCCCAGCCCCATCTTTTTTCCTAAGCTTTATGGGCTTTATTATACCATTTGGCATAGAGGGATGATTTTGGAAACACATGTTACATAATAGTGCAACTGAGTGTACAGATGATCTCTGGGAAAGACCCTGCTTATGTGCAATGGAAGAGCTATTTTCCCTTAAACTCAGAAACATTTCTAACTGTTGTTTAGGTTCAAAATTGTTTGTTTTCTGGGCACAGTTGTTCTAAGGTGGCTTTTGAACATACTGGGACCATGCAGGTGTCTAAATGGCTGTCTCCTTTTTAGCCTTCAGATCCTGAAGAGGTTTTTGTTCAGCATCTAGACATTTTTGTTTCCGAGGACCAACTCTCCCCATCTCCCGCCCCCACCCCTAGTCACTCTGGCCGCCCCGTCACCTATCATGTTATTTTTACATTTTGATATATTGAAATTATCTTATATGTTTGATGGCATTGCATATGTTACATTAAATTATATTATTTGTTCATTGTTCCTACTCAGGTATTACTTCATAAAGCCAGACATGTTTTCTGCCTTGTTCACAGAAGATTCTCACTGCCTAAAACAGTGTCCACCACACACTGATCAATAAATATCTCTATGCTGTAAAACACGGGTCTCTTTCCATGTGTTTAGCACAAAAACTTTATAACAGCCATTTCCTTGTATTTGTCCATCTGGAATTATTTTGGACTTCCCTACTATACAAGCCTCTGACTAACATGCATTTTCACAGTATTGTTAACTCCTTGGGGAATAGGAAAACACATTTTAATAGTAATCCAGAAATCAAACTTAGACCTTTGTTTTTTATGCTAGTTTCTAGCCATTTTTTTTTCTTCTTCTTAAACTGCAATTATTTCACTTAATGTCTAAGAATAGCTCTGGGAATACAGCAGCTTGAGTGGTAACAGAGATGGGCAGGGATATGTTGATTCTTGACAAACACCAACTGAACATGTAATTAGAGGTGCTAGCTGGGGTAGAGGAATCGGACTGTGAAGCCACCTCAGAGATCATCACTGAATAAAATGGACTTGCTCACAACACTAAGCTGAAAATCAAGGGCTGAGTTCCAGCAAACATTTATCTAGTGCCCCCTAATGGCAATGCCCAGTCCTAAATGCTGAAATAATAAAATGAATAAAATAAAGATCCTTCTGTAAACGAGTGTAGAATTTGGTGAGCAAGGCGTAAGTGCCACAAATAAACATACAGCCAAGTTCTAAATATGTGATGTTTAAAGAAAAATACGTGAACATAGTCACAGAGAAAGGAGCACCTACTACGTATTATTTATTGTTTTGAGACAGTCTCACTCTGTCGCCCAGGCTGGCGTGCAGTGGCGCAATCCCAGCTCACTGCAACCTCTGCCTCTCGGGTTCAAGTGATTCTTGTGCCTCAGCTTCCAGAGTAGCTGGGATTACAGGCATGCACCACCACACCCAGCTAATTTTTGTATTTTTAGTAGAGACAGGGTTTCACCATGTTGGCCAGTCTGGTCTCAAACTCCTAGCCTCATGTGATCTACCTGCCTCAGCCTCCCAAAGTGCTGGGATTACATATTATTATTTTTTAGACACAAGGTCCTGCTCTGCTGTCCAGGCTGGAGTGCAGTGGCATGATCATCGCTCACTGCAGGCTGGAACTCCTGGGCTCAAGCAATCTCCCCCAACCAACCCCTCACCTTGGCCTCCCGTAGCTCTGGGATTACAGGTGTGAGCTACAGTACCTGGTGCATTTGGGTTGGGGGAGATATATTGGTTATGATATGGGCTGGCCATGAAAGGGGTGCTGTGCCAGTCACCTGCCTGTGTTCTCTCAAATCCATTTCCCACTCCCTCGCGGTTCACTTTGTATTCCAGAAAACAACATTTCCCAGGCTCCACGGCCCACTGGCTTGTGGCTGGGTTTGTGCAGTTAAAAGGATCGGCAACAGCAGAGAAGACCAGAGCAAGGGAAAAAGCGAGCTACTTCTCCCTACCCCTCTGCTTGGGCAGCATCACAGGACAGGTAGCAGTCACGTCTCCTCCATGGCTCCAGCTCCTGCCAGACAAGTCCTCCATGACTTCAGTTTCAACCTGGTGGTCCTGACTCCAGGGCTCTGGTAATACCCAGATCTCTCCAGCACAGGGAAGTGAGAGGCTTCCAACTGAGGCTGATCTTAGAGTTGCCTCACCTGCTCCTATTTGGTATTTTTGTGCTTCCATTAACCCAGCAACACATTTTCTGTATTAACTCCCCTCTGTTTGACGTGTATAGGGATGCTGTCTGTTTGTTTGCCTGACACAGGTGATACATTGCTCCTGATAGGAAGGAGGTGCATGGGCTCTGGCCTGGAAAGGAATAAAGATTCAGGAATTTAGTCTGTGGGAATGGAAAGGTTAAGGGCCACCTAAAGTAACAGGAAGTTTCACACATGCTGAGATTGAGCTGAAGCAACACCACTCTGTGTCTCGGAGGCCTTCGGGAAGGCTAGGGAGGGTTTTATGCCTGTACAAATGTTTCAGCCAAATATCAGCACCAAATGATGCCCAGGGAGAAATGCCACTTACGTAGGCAAGCCACAGGGCTGAAAAGATGGATCCAGTCTACCACGTTATTTTCTGCTAACTTTAAATCAAATATTTGGGACTCTTGGGGAATGACTCACCCATAGTATTTGGAAAGGCAGAGCTGGAAGGGATCTTCTTTCAAATTATATGAACAAGAGCACTAAAGCTCTTATATGTTAAAATGATTTGCTCAAGGTCACACAGCTGGCATAGCCAGAGGCGAACTCCTCTTTCCTGATTCCAGGTCCACAGCTGTTTTTACTCATCTGCTGTTTTTTACCACTCCCCATGTTTCAGTTCATTCCATGCAGGTTCGGTCCTTTGGTAACCACAAGGTTATGAACAAATTTGAATGGGTTTGTTCCCCATCAATAATTTCGAATTCTGAACTAATAATAACGAACACGTACTCATGTACGTTCCAAAATAACCAGTTTGGACTAATTTTTAAATCAAAGTAATTTAATAAACAGACATTGTATAGTTAATTGAAATGCAGGTAGAATTCAGGTAGTACATACATTCTGCCTTGTTAGTAAAAAACAGCCAAAAACCTCAAGCCTGTGGTGTTTACTCTTTCTTATGCAATTAGCCTTTATGAAATCCTATACATGCAACACTTCTATATTTAGAATGAACACCAAGGGTTTAGGATTAAAAAAAAAAATACCTGAGGCAAAGACTTTAGAGACATTATCTGTTTAATAAATATGATTGTAAAAGCAATAAACAAGAGCAATTATACATTACACTACATAGTATTTAACAAAAAATACATCAAAAAAGTCATTTTAAAATTAGAAGTAGTTCCAATACTATAAGAAAACTTTTTTTTTTTTTAATTGGCTTCCTATAAAAATAAGTCGGCAAATGAGAGATTTCAATGCTCAGTTGGATTCCTGGAAAACACAGAACAGCTGCCAAGCACCCCACTGCTCTCAAAGTTGCTGTTTGGAACTTCTGAAAAAAAAGCAAAGCAAACCTCTGCATTTTGGACAGTGAATCCAATTAAAAATAAGGCAAGGTAGAAAGTGTTGCTTGGGTGGTTCAGGGTAGAACATGCACAGTTTGCCTTCTGGGATTTTGGAAAACGTTGCAGTATCGGATTTTTAGCTTGCCCTGAATCTTACCTTCCACATACATCCCTCCCTACACACTCCTCTGACCTTAAGCCCACCAAACTCCTTGTGTGTTTGCACCTGCGATTAGCGAGTAGGTAGGCACTTAGGTCCCTCCCATTTGTAGGCTCTCATTACTGCCTTCTGTTTGAGATTCAGCTGGAATGGCCTAGTACAATGGTTCTCAAACTTTAGTATGTATCACAATCACTGGGAGGGCTTGTTAAAATAGGTGGCTGGGCCCACTGTCACTTAGCAACAGAGAACACCACTATTCATCCCCTAGAGTTTCTAATTCAGTAGGTATGGGGTATGGATCCAGAATCTGGATCTCTAACTAGCCCAAGTGATAGTGATACTGCTGATCCAGGTACCACACTTTGAGAACAACTGGCCAAGGTCCTAAGAACAATGAGGTCCTCCTCTCTGAGCAGCACCTTGCCTCACTAATCTCCTACAGATGGGAGGGAGCTTTGAGGAGAGGCACATGAGGATCCTGGAGATGCTGAATCTCTAGCTGGCCATCTTTGGTCACTTCCCAAAATGCCAGGTATCTCATGTCGACCTCTATTTTTAATTAGGATTTACAGCCCATTCTTCCCTATGTCTTTCCATTCATTTATTTCTTCAACAAATAGTTTTCATACTACTACTCTAGGCAAGGCACTGTGCTAGAATAAGAGTGTTATACCTCTTTCATACTTTTCTAATTAAAATGAATTGAACTGCAACTCTGAGGACTCCCTGTGCTGGTTTGAGTGAGCCTCTTTTGATTTTCCAACACTTTGTCTTCCACATTAAATTTGGGAGACTCCAACTGAAGAGGATCAATGAGGATGTTTCCTATGAGATAGGAAGCCTGGCAGGTTGGGGATCAATTGAGTTCTACAAATAGGTGACTGCCTCAGGCCTAGCCCATTTCCCAGATTCATATGGGGTATCCTCAACCATAAACATCTCTGCCTGACAAACTTCTGACAGCAGCTTTGCTATTCTTTCTGTGCCTGAACTACATGAAGTCATGGACATCAGGATCTTTAGGACACCCTCATTATCACCAGGGCCTGTGTTATACCCTGTTGGCTTAGGGACATAGCAAAGAAGGAGGCTGAGCATACTAAGAGGTTTATCAGAACTTCTTTCTCCTATAGTTTATAGTGGGCTTTGCCCAGTCCATAATACTAAAGGGGCCTCTGCTGAACAGGCTTTTGTTTCCCTCTTTCTCTGAGCCTTCTTTCATGATTACCCTGGGAAAAATGGGGTTTCTTCATGCTTTGTGCCAATCTTTTTTGCCAATCAGTAACTCTCCTCCTTTATACAGACTTAAATCTTTACTTTAATGATACTATGATACTCAGAGGTCAGAGAGCACACATGAAATCACTGGGATCATCCTAAATAATCAAACTCTCACCCTAATGTAAGACAAGACCCCCATTTATTCTCTCAGACTGTTTGACACTCTTAAACACAAAGTCCATTAACCTGTTTCTCCTTCCAGTTAAAATCAGTTTTATTTCACAAACATTTCTATTCTACTGTGAGAGTGGAAATACCAGGTAACAGCAACCGTCACAGGAGGAAATTGCCCTGCGAAATTGTCACACATTCAAAACATTTCTCACAAGAATCTTCTGGAATCAGATCGCACGAGATTTTCGTTAAGGTGTGAGAACACCACAATTCATCTCTATGCTTTCTTTTCCAAAGTACATGGCCAGGTTTGAATTACTTTGCATATATCAACTCTTTCGCATACAGTATATGTTTCCAGGTGGGAAAAGGCAGGGATATTTGAAAAAGGCAGGTTCTAGAGGAAAAGACAAAGATACATGAAACTGAACCCTGCTGTGCAGGATGCAGCAAGGTCCATGGGCACAGAAGCTGGCATGCTTGGGAATGTACAAAACTGACAAAGGGCTCAGAAACTTGTGAGTAGTGGGGGCAGGGGCGGCACAGGCCAGGCCAGTATTTAGGAAACGTCAGGGTTAATGTCCAGAATCTAGCAATATGTTTGGGAAGAAAAACTGAGAACAGTTGAAGGACAACTTACTTGGGGTTTGGAGGGAAGAGATTCAAAGATATCAACAGATCATGGTCACACATGGATGACAAACAAATGTGAAGACAGGACAATGGGTAACTAATGGGATTCCATTTCCTACTGCAGTTGGGGCAGGAGTAGGGAAAGCTGCAAGGGGAGGCAATCATGGTGGAAAGAGGTGAACAGGAAACCAAGGTCCGTTTCTGACATGCTTTGCCTCCCTGCCTCCCTTCCTTCCTTATTCTACCGGCACAAAGGGATCTTCAACTCGCATCTTTGTTCCTGTGGCCACAGAGAGTGCAGAAAGCAGCCTTGTGGCCACTGCTGACCAACAGAGCTACCAAAGCTAACTTAGAAGGGAAATGACAGTATGGAAAGTGGAACAGAGAAACAGCTCAGGGTTTCAAACTCCTGTGCACGTCTTTGTGTCTTATGAAAGGAGCTGGGGTAGCTAATCCACCCATCAGCCTTTAATGCTAAAATAGCTGATAAATCTAGAGCCAAGAATATTTCCAAAAATACATGCAGATTTCCTTGGCCTATATATGTTATGAATTTTCTACAAACACGACCGATCAGAAAAAAGAGAGAGAAGAAGAAAGAGGGAGAGGGGAGTGTTTTCCATTAAAATAGAGCACCTGTACACTGCCCCTCCAGACATGTTCTCAGAGTATTGTCCACATGCACAGGCTTAAAGCTAAAAACCCTTGTTGTCTGTGTCTGAAGAATTAAAAAGTCCCGATGCAGTGAGTGTTTGTTTGTTTGTTTGGATTTTGATTGTTTATATTTTATGTTTTGTTTTGTTTTTGTTTTTGTTTTTTTACTGGCGTCCTCCATTCAAACATTTACATAGGTAGGGATTTCTTTTGTGCTTTGATTCTCAGCAACTATGGAAATACTTCCTGGCAAAATAGGAAACAGAACAACAAAGGAAAGAAAAAAAACACAAAGTTAGTGGTCATGAAGGATGATGTACTTGACAAGAGCGAAATTCTTTCCTGATCAGCAGGTCGCCTGTAGCCTTTGGGGGTTTTCCTTAAATTGCATACTGTGCCCCAGCAGATCCCCGCTTTGGCGTTGAAGGCGGAGTGGCGTGTCTTGCTCTTTGCAATCGGAGAGATGAGTCACCAGGTTGAGTAGAAGGGGAGGGAGGGGAGGGTAAAGCTACTCTCCTAAGAGAAAACGTGTAACACTTACTCATTTAATGACACTGGAAAGGGAAAGGTGTCAGAGACTTTGCAATGTGCTGCGATATCTTCCTGGAGAAGGAGGAATTACTACTTTAATAAAGCAAACAGAGGCTGTGCTTCATACCCTACGGAAATGCGACTGAGAACCAAACGATCCCCAAAAATGCACTTAGAAGCTTTAGGAATGAGTAGACAGGGTGAATGCTTCTCTGGACTTGAAGGCAGAAAAGACTTTTTTCTTTTTAGCCCCAAGCAATCACACATTTATTACCTTGCCTCTCCAAATAAAAGAAAGTGCACTGTGAAAATCGGACACCAGATGTGACTGCAGTTGTTATCATTATCTATGATAGGAGCCAGTCACTGCATTTACATTTCCCCTTAACACAGCCACAGACCTTTCCCATATTCATTTAAAGAGGGTTATGTTTCCGTTTACATACTCATTGTTTTCCAAGTAAGATTAAAAATTTTATGTAAAGGCCTTCTAGGTGGTTTGGCATTATCACATTAGAGTGGAGCATGAATGGTTATATAATAATTTATTCACTGTTGTCAGCAATGCAGGATCTAGATGTAAACATATAAGGCTTCAACTCCTAATGCCAACAGACAGGAGGAACCAGACAGAGAAATGGATCAGCAATAGTGGCTTCATAGGTTTGTCTAGCTTCCTGGAAAATTTCTGCTGCAATAAATAGCAGAATCTAGCAAGTGAACGTCAGATTCTCTATACCTCGTTGTTGGATTCCCATGCCTACTTCACAGGCAGAGAGAGAGCCATTGAAATATGAGAAAGTCCATTTTACAACTTCTGGTAAGGGACAGTCTAAAAAGAGGAAGAAATTTGCTAATCTGCTCTGTAATAGTCTCACCCACCAGTGGTCTCTCTCAGGATGCTCTACTGCCTGGATGTCTGCAAACATTATGCCTCTTGTCCTCAATCTTAGGTTCCAAATCTCCTGAGGGAAAGTTCCTAGACTACCAATAGATGTAAAAAAAAAAAAAATTCCCTGGAGGATCAGGCTGGCCACTCTCATTATGTCACTTCTCTACTGGTGTTCCAGAGCAGTTTGCCCTCCTTAAGAGCTGTATCCAGTTGAGGCTACCATGTTTCATTCTAGTCAATACATACCATGTCCTGCAAACCCTGCCCAGCCCTCTGGTCCACCAGCCTTAGCCTCTGAGGCCTCTCCTTCTTATATACTATTAAAGCAAATGCTTTGCTCTTTGCCCATAAACATATAACATTTTAACATTTTAAGCCCAATATTTTAGGGAGGGTTTTGCAAAAGGAGGAATAAACTAATGAGAGAAAAAAACTAGATAGAAGCAAGAGGTTTGTTTGTTTTTCCCCCATCCCAATCAGAGGAAGCAGGGAAAAAGCCATCTTAGCTGTTTCTCTCAGGGGTGTTAGAGCAAAAGAAAGTGGTTATGTCAAGCCAGAAAGGGGTTAGAGAGAGAGTCAGCCATTGCCTACTCAGCCGAACAGCTGGTGGCTACTGGGAATCATTTACCTATGAGCTGGGATTCCACCTTCTCATCTATAAGCTGGCCAGGCCTCCTTAGTTCAGTCTGAGGGACATTGGGCCTGCTTTCAGAGTGACTGACTGGACTGATCATCTCTTGTTCTTTCTCATTCTGCATCTGGGCATAAACATTAATCCCCGGGATCTTCCTAAAATATTAATAGAAACCATCACTGCTATGCACATCACTGTAACACATGCTTCTGAACCTGTCAGGGAGAAGGAAGAGGTCAGGGGTGGGGGAACGTGGATAGAGGGACACGCACCTTTTAAACTTGTAGATGACGAACACTGCCAGCCCCACAAACACCACTGAGAGCAGCATCAGCATGGCAGATCCACTGTGGGTTGGAGTGAGGTCCACCAGGGGGGCTTGTGGGGGAAACAGAGCAGAGAAAAATGAGCAGAGAACTGGGCAGGTGAGACTCTATGAGAGGCTCAAATGTTTCACACACAAGCAGAGGTAAGTCCTGGAAAACCATGTGGGATATACACACAAGATGCATGTCACATGGCTGACATGGGATGCATCTGAGCCCACCCCTACTCCCACCCCAAATGTTCCTGCTCTGCAGCAGAGCAATGAAAAGCACAGACCCCAGGGCCAGGCTGTCTGGATTCAGGTCCCACTCTAACTAGCTATGTGGTCTTGGGCAATTTGCTTCACCTTAATGTACCTTATGTGGTAAAATAAAAATAATGGTATATACTTCATTGGGTTCTTATGAGGATTAAGTGAGCTAATGTATGTTACGCATTGAGAAAAGTGCCAGGCACATAGTAAGTCATGTACCTATTAGATTTCATTTCTACTGCTGCTAGTATTAGTATTATTAATCAATATTTATAATATAATAATTATATTTTATTATACTCTGAGTGTAAGCTTTTTCCACAAAGCAAAACAGATTGCCAATAAAACCACCTGCAGGAATACATTTGTGAATTCAACCACCCCGTCACCCCTACTCCAGTAGTTGTCATGTGAGAAAAATAATTGGAAAGTTGTCATACGTGAGAGAAAGAACAGCAAAGTGATGGAGCATGCTTGTATTTTTGTACACAGGAAACTGATGGCCAAGTGAGTATTTCACGAGGGTAGCCGCGGAGATGCTGAAGGAGGGATATGCCACCTGGCTGTCTCCACAATCTCCCAAAAGCTCTGACAGCCCTCCCCAAGATGCTCCAGCCTCTCAAACACAGTGAGTTTTTCTCTCAGACAAAACAGAAGCCTCTGCCTCCATGAAAGAGTCTCCCTCCCTGAGTTTCCCCTTGAGGTGCAGTCTGGAAAACACTTCTCGCCACCTCTCCACCTTCCCCCATCTCACAGTCAAACCTGTTGTACCTGTAGACTTTGCAATTAATTTCTACCCTCTTAAAAGTTGACATTTTGCAAATGTAGTGCAGCTCGTGCATAAAAGACAAGCCACATGTACTCCAGGGAAGCCTTGGTGCTGACCTTTACCTTCCATCAACTTAAGCAAAGCCTGATACCCAGAAATACAGGTGACCTTTAATCACCATTTTCTGTGGTTTTCTCTGGTGTGAGCCGAGAGGGCAACATTCTAATCACCCAGGTAAAAAAGTTCAAGAATAAGTGACTATAATACTGATGGTCTCAGACAAGACTCTCAGTTGCTTCTGCTCTGTCTACTCTTTTCAGGATTACATCTCGGCCACTCTGTATTGATACTGGGAAGCATATTCCATCTAACCACATAGTTTTGGTGAAAAATGAAAGCCACCCCTTCCTTCTCAGAAAATAGTCATTTCAGGAGAGTTGGCTTTCAGGAGGCACTGAATATAAGGAACCCCCCCGCTATTTTCTCTCCCCTGTAAGTCAAACTTCACCTCAGTTTTGAAATGGGAATATGTAGGTTTGTGTGTAAAAGATGGGTGGGGTCCCACTGCCGTGGAACGCCCAAGGCAAATTTTCTTTTGGTTCAAAATTAGAAAACAAAGCTCTCAATGCCATCGGCAGAGAGGTTCAGAAATTCTTCAGAACTCACCCTGCAACTGGTAGGATGTCATCAGGGGAAGAGAACACCTTCCATTTGTCATAGACATTATCACAATTGATTTTCACAAATGGAAGGCAGTGACTATGATCCCCATTAAACAGATAACAATGAAGTTCTCATTGGTTAGTGTTGTTTTAAAAGGACTTAGTACTTACTAGTAAATGGAAGAACCAAGACTTGAACCTGAATCGTCATACATACACACACACACACACACACACACACACACACACACACTTTCTATATACTCAATCCTGGGCTAATTTCAGTAAAAGACATATTTCTGAGGATGGGGATTAGGACTAAGACTATAGCACAAAAAGCAAATTAACAAGGAGCACAAGTTAAAATACTAAGTTTTAAAAGGAGCAGTAGGAATAATAAATCATGTACGCTTACGTTTGGAAGACAGGTATGTGTATACATATATGCATATGTGTATATATATGTATGGATATGTATGTGTGCATGCAAACACACACACACAGAATACAGAAATGAAGCCTCATGTACCTACCACTCAGCTTCAACAACCATCAACCAACAGCCAGTCTTATTTTATCCAGTCCCCACAACCTCCAACCACTGGATTATTTTGAAATAAATCTTGGAAAACTTATAATTTAACCACCTATAACTCTAAAAGATAAGATCTCTCTCTCTCTCATCATTACCACAATACCATCATCACATCAAGGAAATTATATTAGGAAGATGTTTTAAAGGCAATATTCTAATGCAAACCCTTAATTTGTCAGGGAACAATGGAGGCTCGGAAGGGGCCACAGATGATTGGGATGGTTAGAGGTTGAAATAAAGCTAAACTTTTCACTCCTAACTAAATGCTCTTTCAGCATAACCAGAATACCAGTGATATGAAGCAACTAAGAATACTGAGCTTGCTTGAAAAGGTTGGCATTTGAAATAAATGGAAAACTGAGAGAAAATTACTTTGTCCAAGCTGTCAGCAACACAGCAAACTCGCATATGCATGCATGCACACACACAAACACATACACACACACACACACACACATGAACCTTTTCCCTTCTCTTTCCTTCCTCCTATCTCTCCCCATCCCCAGGTTGTCTTTCGATTCTAAATCATTTACACTTAAATCATCATTCTTCAACAAGCAGCATTAACACTGTTAAGTAATTAGCATATTATTCTGGGAAAATGAACTTCTGTATCCCAGTTCTAAAATGTGTGTTATCCATTCACCCTCCCCATCTCTGCATCAGTCAGTCATTTCTCAGAGGCAGGAAGCAGGAAGCAGGAAGCAGCCAGCAGCAGTGGCCAGAGACTGACTACCACTGCCCTCTGTTCCGTGGGTGGTGTCTGCTTGCTGATTGGTGCCTGAGTATAAAGGGACCTATTATTGCTCCATACAACAGCAGCTGCATTTCTTAGTTTGCCCAGCACTTAGGTGCATTTGTGTGTGTTTTGCTGAGGGATGGAAACTTGTGATAAATGGGCTTTAGCTTGTTGTGTGGAATTAGCATACTTTAATCCCTTTCCAGTTGCAGCTTAAACAAGGTAGACGTGTAGGGGAAAGTGCTGAGCAGTTTTTTGCCATTATTCATGCACAAAGTAAAACATGGATACCAGCAGTACTCCAAGTGACTCAACATTTTTAAGCCTGCGTACTTGCACATATCATTTCTAAAATCCTCTGAGGAATTTGGAAATGCATTGAATTTTTATATTTTATTCATGAGGACCTGGAACGATAATAATGGGAACACTTACAATAATAACAACAATCTTCTTGTGAAAAGTGATTGCCACGTAGTAAGTGCTAAATAAATGGTTATAGTTGTATGTATGAGAACAAATTCAAAATTCCACATTTGGGGTTAAGTAATGATATGAGCCCTTTTCAGAATCAAACCTGGCTCTGTCACTTATAGACTAAGTGACTTAAATTAAATCTCAGTTTCCTCATCTGCAAAATGGAGACGAAACTAGTGTTTAGTCTAGAAATTTGTGAGATTAAAATGAGATGGAATTTATAAAGTACTGTCATAGTATTTGGGACAGACTACATGCCCAATATTTCTAACATTGTCATATTATTGCTATCATATTTCTGAAAGTGTATTCTTCTACAGAAAAAAAATCCTGAAAAATGATGACAGTTCCCTGGTGAGATAATTTGGGGCAATGATACATACAACATTCCCCATATGGAGATTCACAATGCACATCAGTATATTAAATGATCACAGCAGCCCTTGCAGAAAAGAACACATTTAACTTTACCATAGTCTTTCATAAACTCATTTGACCACAGACCCTTTGCAGAACTAGGTTCCACATAACACTCTAGGAAATGCCTCTCCCCAGGCACTGCTTTCCCTGTTGCTGCAGTTTTTTCGTTTTGTTTTGTTTTGTTTTTAGATGAAGTCTTGCTTTGTCACCCAGACTGGAGTACAGTGACACAATCTCGATTCACTGCAATCTTCTCCTGTGTTCAATCAATTCTCTTGCCTCAGCCTCTCGAGTAGCTGAGATTACAGGCACCTGCCACCACGCATGGCTAATTTTTTTTTTTGTACTTTTAGTAGAGATGGGGTTTCACCATGTTGGCCAGGCTGGTCTCGAACGCTAACCTTGAGTGATCCACCCGCCTTGACCTCCCAAAGTGCTGGGATTACAGGTGTGAGCCATTGCACCCGGTCCCCCTTGCTGCAGTTTTGCCCTTTGCTCGGTTTCTTTCCAAGTTTTAAGGTCAATAACATGGTAGCATCACCCAGTGAAGCCATGCAGAACAATCTTATTGTTGTCCAGTGTTCACTTTCATTCTATCAAAAGGACATTCCTGGAGAACTGCTACTTGCACTATGACCCCGAAACTTTCAACTCTAATTCTAATCCAAGAGTTAGTGTTTTCAGGATGTTGTAGAAGTAATTTACCATACCTTGATATTCTTTTTTCCTCTCCTGACCCCAAAGTAGACTCAATTCAGGCTTGAGTTATATGCTTTGAATATCACAAAATCCATGTGGTCTGAAATATTTTTTCAGAAATTACAGTGATATGGGAATAGCACAGAGAAAGTTTATCCAGAATGCAGAATAGGCAGAAAGGCTTCCATTTACAGAGCACTTTCAGTTGTCCAATGGGCCTTCCCTCCATTTAGAAACAAATCCAATCATCAGAGTCTTAAAGTTTCCTATGTTATTGGGAAAAAGCCACAAGACTGCAGACTAGACTAGGTGGGAATTTCCAGGGAAGTCTCTTGTTAAAGTAGCCAATTGGGAGGCCATTAGACTGAGGCAGCTCTGGCGTCCTGGGTTCCTATGTAACCAAACCAAAACCCAAGTAAAGAGTAAACAGTCATATTCTAGGAAAACAAAACTTAAGCTTAATCAATTAGAAACCACTAGCTAATATCTAATGAGAGACTTTCTACTAGAATTATCCAAAGAAGGCTATTCCTCCATTTTAACCGATCAAATATTTTCTTTGCCTAGCTTTCACCTTCACCCCATAAAAGCCTCATGCCTTTTAGGGAGCCCTAAATCAACTGTGGTCTAGTGCTAACTGATTAATGAATCATTGTTTGCCCAAATAAACTCTTTAACATTTTAATGTGTCTCAGTTTGTCCTTTAGTAGCTCTAATGACAAGTGAAGCATTGTTTCTGAATTTAAACTGAGGGTGAATCTTCAGTAATATCCAGTGACAGGGAGTTGAGGTCACTTAGCCAAGTAATGACAAACATCAGTAACTCCAAGACCAACCATCATCATAATAAACAGACAAGAGGAGAAGAATGACTTATGGTTTTCTAAGGTTGGAAGGTGATGATTCCTGGCTACTATGTGAAATATTCCTCAAAGTGTAGCTTATGGACTACCTGAATCAGAATTACTTGGAGCACTTGTGAAAATATTGTTAGCTAGGCTTCACTTGAAAAAAAAACATGTATAGTCCAAAAAAAATTAGCCAGGCATGGTGGCAGGCACCTGTAGTCCCAGCTACTCGGGAGGTTGAGGCAGGAGAATGGCATGAACCCGGGAGGTGGAGCTTGCAGTGAGCCAAGATCGTGCCACTGTACTCCAGCCTAGGCAACAGAGTGAGACTCTGTCTCAAAAAAAAAAAAAAATGTATAGTCTTTGAGAGTAGGTCTCCAAAATCCATATATGTGACAAGGTACCCAGGTAATTATTATGTATAACAGTTTGAGAATACCGCATAGCAGGCCCCAGATATTCTCACTCATAAAACTTCCAGTCCTGTCTTTAGGGCATGCCTGACTTTTATATTTTCTGGATCACTAAAACAAAGCAAAAATACCCCCCTACACACACAAATGTTCCCCTTTGCTGTTGATAGTAGCTCAATCTGGTGATGGCTCCAGAAGAAAGTTTGTTAAACTACCTAAAAGCATCTCAAGTCTCCCCTAAGTGAGCAGTCAGCCTCATGTAGATATGGATTACATTGCTGGCTCAATCCTCTACCCTTCTCTGTGTCTAAACTTTGTGCAATGAGTTTGAAGCTTGTCTCACCTAAAAGGCAAGAGGTAAAATCTGTTTCTTCATGTCTTGAATCTGAGCTATTATTATAATCTGCATCTGGCAATGGAATGCAATGGAAGCAATGGTGTGCTAATTGTGAATTTCACGGCCTTGCATACCTCTGCTTTTTCTCTTGGAATCCTACCACTGCCATGTGTGAGCAAGACCAGAACAGTCAAAGGATGAAAGGCCATGTAGAGGCCAGGTTAATTATTCCAACCAAAGCATGCTAGAGCAGCCTGCAGGCAGCTGACCCGTAACATGTGAGACAGACCAGCCAAGATCAGCAGAGCTCCCCAACCAACAACCCATAGCTGATTGCAGACAGACAAGTGAATGTAGATAAGACTAGACGCATAAGCAAAAATAAATGCTTACTATTAAGCCACTGAACTTCTAGGTGGTTTGTTACATAGCAATAGCTTATTTACTTTCCTCAAAAGTCTCTTTCAACTGGTTAAACATTCAATTACCAATTATTACCTTTGAGCTCCACATTAGCCAATTTTTGGTATAGTCTTCTATCCCCACTCTCAGGGTGGCAGGGTAAAAGTAAGAAGACCATACATATTATTTTCAAAGATAAGACACTTTAAGAATGAAAGGGGGCGCTATTAAAGCTTACGCTGATATAGCATAGATAACCCAGGACAGTCCTGATCACTCTAGGTATCAGAAACTTGGTGTCTAAAGGGTAGCTTGTCCTATGTTCTGGCATCTTGTCTGTATTTTATATGTGTTATCCTTCCCCTTTGCTTTACTTTTTTTTTTTCTTTTTGCTAATTTCTCTTGACTATCTGCCTTGCCTTCCCCTGGGATACTGCATTTCTGACGCATGTTTGTGCCCCTGTTTCTGTTCATCTGACTGTTCCTTGCTGACCATTCTCTGACCAAGAGTTTCCAGACATATCCTCTAGCCTGGCTAACTCAGTCTAGTTACCCTGTAATCATTTCAGCCCCTTTTACGGTCCCCCGTAATCTCAGAAAAAAAGAAATGGTGAAGAAAGAATTTATTAGAAGCTAGGCCAGGCATGGTGGCTCATGCCTGCAATCTCAATGCTTTGAGAGGCTGAAGTGGGTGAATCTCCTGAGGCCAAGAGTTTGAGATCAGCCTGGGCAACATAGCAACACCCTGTCTCTACAGAAAATAAAAATATTAATTGGATGTGGTGGTGCGTGCCTGTAGTCCTAGCTACTCGAGAGGCTGAGGCAGACAGATCGCTTGAGCCCAGGTGTTCAAGGCTGTAGTGAGCTATGATGTGCCCCTGCCCTCCAGACTGGAAAACAGAACTAGATTCTGTGTCTAAACGAAGCCAACGAGCAACCTCATTGCTGCACGCTGGTAGGTAGATGAAAATATCACATTTAATCATATTGCGGGGAGGGATATATTTAGATATATATCTACATGATAAACCCACTATTGTTTATAACACCATAATGATTAAATAACTATGAAAAGCCGCTGGGTCTATGTATCTGTGCAACTACCTAATTACTTGAAGATAAAAAATATATTTATTTTGGGGAAAAATAAAAGGAAGAAAACATATCGGTACCAAGGCTTTACTTAAAAAAGACTTGTAAATGATTACTATGTAGATAATACGGTGACCGAAAACTAAAGAGACAGATAAACTTACTGGCTGTGGAAGAATTTCACCAGTACTAATTTCATCCCTAAATGGAAAATGTTATTGCAACAATTTACTTCACTTTACAGTTCAGAGTTCCACAACTCCTATTTGGCATCTGCATCCATAATGTTGTGGCTGAGATTATATTGTAGTTTCTAAAACTTCTTGACGAACGGTAATTCTCCCTTCAAGTGGAAAGTCTTTTTCTCAATGTGAAATTGTAGTGCAGAATTCATGATGTATCACGACCTAGGTCGAAATTTGAAGTTTCTTATTCCCTCCCAAATTTACTCATAACACATCCAGTGGTAGCAACTGAAGCCTGGAAATATTAATTCTCTAATATCTCTGTGATAACATCTTTTTATTACACCTGCAAAAGAAATTAAACCAGTCAGCAGCAGCCATAGAGGCCAAGATAACACAAGATAACAGTTTTATTAAAAAACCCACACATACCCTTGACAAAGGACAGTTTTCCTGAACCGAGCAGTTTAAATAAGGCAACTGATAGACAGACAGGAGGAGGTAGAAGCAAAGTTCCTGTGTATTTTTTTTGGGGGGGGTCATGTTTTTTTATTTAACCTGAGGTTTGAGGCTCTTCCTTTGATAAATATTAACCCTTTACCATTTTTATAATGTGCGTTTATCCAGAACTCCAGACGAACAGCGACCAAACTGGAAAGCCCAGCGTAGGGCAACCTCTGAATTCTGAAATATGTACAGACATATAGTGAAATGTAGCTGTATCATTTTATGCTCACACTGGCACATGAACAGCATCTAGATAATATTATTTGTTTAACTCTCATAAAACTCAAGGCTGTTCAATTACATCTGCCATTAAGATTCCAGTTCACACTTTAATCATGTTTCAACTGCTTCATGGCCACAGCTCTTGGCTGGCCTTTGCCATTCATCTAGATTATGGATTTAATATGCCCCAGATTCAGGGGCATGTTTCATTTTCTCCCCCTTCCTCATTGTCATTTGCCCATTCTGCCAATTAGGTTAGCTCCAAATATTCCAAGAAATTAGATTTTAATATTTATTACTAATTTCCTCCTGTACTTAATATCACAGGCTCTCCTTATTTAATTCATGCTTCTGTTTTAGTGGATGGCTTGAGTTGTAAATCAGATTTATTACTGGAGATAGTCGTTCACCTTTCCTTGTTATGCAGATGGATTTCTGTCTGTGAAAGGCTGTTGAACAGTGGTTGTTAAGACCAGTGAAGAGGCCACCGTCGTAAGCATCATTAGCAGAAACTTGCTAAAAATGAAGATTCCTGGGGCCGGGCGCGGTGGCTCATGGCTGTAATCCCAGCACTTTGGGAGGCCAAGGTGGGCAGATCACGAGGTCAGGAGATCGAGACCATCCTGGCCAACACGGTGAAACCCCATCTCTACTAAAAATACAAAAAATTAGCCGGGCGTGGTGGCAGGTGCCTGCGGTTCCAGCTACTCCGGAGGCTGAGGCAGGAGAATGGCGTGAACCCAGGAGGCAGAGCTTGCAGTGAGCCGAGATCACGCCACTGCACTCCAGCCTGGGTGACAGGGCAAGACTCCATCTCAAAAAAAAAAAAAAAAAAAAAAAAAAAAAAGAAGATTCCTATTCCTGGCTCCTTGGGATTCTTCACTGTGTGTGGTGAGGCTTAGAAAATCTCTATCTTTATAAAGCTTCCTAAGTTAATTGCAATGTAAAGTCACGTTTGAGAACAGCTGCTATTTATAGCAGATATCTCCCACCCTGAGTTGGAAAGAGTTTTCTAACTATGGGGCAGGGTTTCATGTATCTCAAATGCTTTGAGGGAACTAGTCAGCTCCAGCTCTTTTAGTTCTTTGAGCAGAAGTCCCACCATCCAAATTGCAGTTCATTTGCCCAGTACATAACTTACGAAGGGCACATAATCCCTAAAGGGTTGTTATTTGCTATTTAGGAGGTATCCATCTAGTTAGGCTTTTGCCTTCTCAAATAAAAGTCAGTGTTGCCCCTTGCTTGCCCTCTTTTTACTTTCTATTCTCATGGAAACCTTACCTATTCTGTCTTAGAAGAGTCAACAGGTTTTCAAGTCATTTCCCACTCCCTCCTTCTCCCCACCAAATATAAGGACTAAATTTACTCATGACCAAGGGTTCTCATGAGAACAAAGATACAGGGTTTGATAGAGCTTGAAAGATTTAAATCGGCAATTAAGGCTTTAACTTATCACCTGTCAGCAGATTCCCCTCACCTGATGATCTGCTATGAGATGGTAAATTAAAGCTCATAGTTGAATGTATATTCTGGTCCTGGTCTTCTCACCTGAGTTTCCATTCCATATTTCCAGCTTCCTGATGGGGTTTTTCACTTATATGTTTGATGACATCCAACCCAACATGAACCACCAAATTTATCGTCTTTGACGACGAAAAAAAAAAAAAAAAAAAACAAGCTCCACCTCCCAGGTCTCCATCTCGACTAAACAAATTACCATATCTTGCCACTTGCCACTTGAGTTGTAAACTTGTGTGTAAATACTTTGTTAAAAATAGAAATGATAATGGAGTTTTGCCCAAACCTATTATTAAAGGAAAAAACCCCAAAATCCTTCTAGCAGCCTTTTTTTCATTTTCCAAATTCATTATACCTTATCATCTCAAATTTGCATTAATAAAATTTCTTCACTAGCGCACAATGGATGATGGACAACAAAGTTTATAATATACTAGCATATTATTTTTCCTGAATTTTATCCCTCTCCCTTTGCTCATTATTTTACCCTCAGTAAATATACTAATTATGAATATTTGAGGGTATATATCTAGAAGCCCCAATCCATGTCAGACAACACATAATTTTATACATAAACCATATAATTCCACCTTTCTGTGCCTTTGTGCAACCTGGCCTCTCAACCTGCAATGCTTATTTGCTCTTTTTTTGGTGAATTCCTATTCAACCTTAAAGACTCAGCTTTACTGAATCTTCTGCATAGAACATTTTTTCATTCTCCTCATTTAGAATTTAGTAAAGTTTCATGCAACTAGTATTTGTGCCTCAGGTCTAGCCAGCTCAGTGTGAGTGAGGGCCCTCACTCATCTCATATGCCCTGATAAACTATAGGTTTAAAGGAATAATTTCAAAGTAAGGCATAGAGTCATGTGAAGAATAAGATGATAAATCTAAAAATGGATCCTGCCCTTGAGTACATTTCAAGTTACTAGGGTCAATGAGAAAACTATTGGCACTTTAGGGATATTTTCTTAACGGCTCAGGTTTGTTCTTCCACAAGTAACTATATGGATCAAATGGTGTGCATTAGATTCAGGGCCTTCCAGATTCTTGCTAGAAAAACTCTCCCTAAAATGACATCATAGCTGTTTTATGTTTTTGTTTTTGTTTTGAGATGGAGTCTTGCTCTGTTGCCCAGGCTGGAGTGCAGTGGCATGATCTCAGCTCACTGCAACCTCTGCCTTCTGGGTTAAAGTGAATCTTGTGCCTCAGCCTCCCGAGTAGCTGGGGCTACAGGTGCACGCCACCATGCCTGGCTAATTATTGTACTTTTGATAGAGATGGGATTTCACCGTGTTGGTCAGGCTGGTCTTGAACTCCTGACCTCAGGTGATCCACCCACCTCATGCTCCCAAAGTGCTGGTATTACAGGCATGAGCCAGTGCACCCAGCCCATTATAGCTCTTAAGATACACGATACAGAAGGCTAGGGCAAATGCATACACGAGAGATGGGGAGGACAAGGGAGGCATCACAGAAGATGTGAAGAAGGTTTGGCTGGTTTGTTAAGGTGAGGAGTGTGCAGTCCAAGGTACGTGACCATGAGCTATGCCATGAAGTGAAGCTGCTCTGACACTGAAACCATGTCTTCCAGTGGCCAGAGCAATAAAATAGGGACCAGTGATTCAGTCTCTTTTGGTAACAGTCGCCTGCCAGTCGTTCTCCCATTCTCTCTCAGATCTCTCTTTCTGGGACGTAGAACTCCAGGAAGGATAGGCCCAGTTTTCTTTCAACTGCCCATTCCCCACAATGTGTATATAAACAATTACAATGCATATTTAAAGAACACCTGCCATAAGAAAAAAAAATACAAAGATTCCCTAGATGCTTATTGTGTAAATGAATGCAAGTCTCCACTGATGAGTTATTTGATAAGAAGAAGCATGTCATGGGGACAGGTTCACAAATGAATAAACTGAATAAACTGGATCTGAAGGTTAACTGCGGGAATGGGATTTTGAATATATCTCTGCAGGCTATAAATTATGCATATAATTATTCATAAAAACAATATTTGTTAAGCACCTGATATGTGCAAGTTATCTGCTAGGTAAAATGATGAAGATGATATAAAGATATATGAAGAAGCTGATATAAAGACATGATGAACTATATCCAAAAGAAATTAAATAGGAGTGATTCAAAAGGTGATGGTCATGATCATCAACATCAGACAGATAAAGATCTAGAAATCCATGTGATTTCAGACAAGGGGAAGATGTTGTCCAGGCAAATGTCTCTGGAAAGATGTCATGCAAATGTTGGCATTGAACTGAGCCTTAAAGTACAGGTGGACAAGGAGAAATAGGTGAAGAAGTGGGGAGAAATATTCCAATCTGGAATATCATGAGTAGACGTACACTTTGGTCAAGACAGCAGTGCTTCCAGTCTAACACTAGCTTGACTGCATTCTATTCCCTTTTCCAACTCTTTGTATTGTTTTTGCAACATCATAGCCTTTGTTTGCTAAACATGGATGCCAGCTGCCATCAGGTACTAAAAGTCAAAGGGAGCCACTCAGGCCATGACCCTCCCTCAACCTTCTGGATAACATGTTTCTCATTCTCCCTTATTCTCATACAGGTTCAAGTCTCTCCTTTCCGCAAAGAGAATTTCAGAAACATACCTGTCAGGAGTGGTTAGACCCTTAAGAAAAACTGCATGAAAACCAAGAACCACAGGAATGGCTAGGAACAAAACAAGGACTACATTCAAAATTTAGCTCAGCTTAGATACCACAGTTAATGAATTCCCAAATGGAACGTGTTGGTGGGTGGGGGGCAGACACCATCCAGTCTCTAATGACATTCAGGTATCTGCAAATGCTTTCCTTGTGTTCCCATAAAAGCAAACAGGGAAGTGAATCTGAAAACCAAAATAAGGCTAGTAAATTCTTGAAAAGAGACAGTTCTTTTTCCTTGGAGACAAACCAAATTATGCATTTGCTTCTCTCACCAACAACATACTCTGGCTCAAACATTTTTAAAAGAAGGCTGCTGAACATCTGCTGAGCAATTAATGGGATGCAACAGCATGTTGTAATGGTCCCTGGGAAGGTATTAGCAATCCTGCTTATGAGACATGAAATGTTGCTAACAATGGTTCTTTTTTTTTTCTTTTAATTTTTATTTTCCCCTGCCTACAGGGGGGATGAGAGAAAGAGAAATAGAGTTGATGTGGAAGTTCTACATCTAATACTCCTCCCCACTGTTTCTCTTTTTTTTTTTTTTCAGGCTTCCTTCTCCTTCTCTTCCTAGCCACCCAAATATTAATGTGTTAATTTCAACCTAATAAAAGCAATTGTGGTGGCTCATGCCTGTAATCCCAGCACTTTGGGAGGCTGAGGCAGACAGATCACTTGAGCTCAGGAGTTTGAGACCAGCCTGGGCAACATGGTGAAACCCTGTCTCTACCAAAAACACAAAGAAACTTAGCCGGGCATGGTGGCATGAATCTGGTCCCAGCTACTTGGGAGGCTGAGGGCTTGAGCCCAGGGGGCAGAGGTTGCAGTGATCCGAGATCATGCCACTTCACTCCAGCTTGGGTGACTGGGTGAGACCCCATCTCAAAAAAAAAAAAAAAAAGAAACAAAACTGTGGCAAGTGTGTCTCGGCCCACCGATACCCTACCAAAGTGCCAAGTTTTCCATGAGTGAAGGGGGAATTCCCTCCACTGTTTTTTGTATATGTAGGGTCTACCACCCTATTCAAATATTTTTTTTCTTTTTTTCTTTTAATCAGGTAGCTAAAGGTAACGTAGGAGCAATCACCAACAGGAAACAGATCCCTCCCATATTTTACTTCCTTATCACAATTGCTGTTCCCGTTGACACGTTTGTCTTTTGCATAAGAAAATCGAGCCCTGAGTGACTGTGCTCCTGTGGACACCGCCAGCTCTAATGCGTTATGACCAGCATAGCCAAACTCAATATAGCAAAAGTTTCCAAAACTCAGTTATTCCATCAGCCCATGACATTATCTTTGTTTACTTATCAAACTGGAGCTAATTATCCACATATAAATCTATATCTACTCCAGTTGCTGAACTAGCCATGACAGAAAACTTAATAATGCCAGTTGATCAGGCTTGGAATTATATAGCCGAAAGACCCTACTATCAAAACTAACAGGAAAGATTTCTACAATGGTTGGAAGTCAAAGAATTTTCTCACTCTCTCCAAATTGGTCCAGGCTAAGATTGGGCTTTTATTTGGAAATGGATATTTTTTTCTTTGGTGACTTTGTGTTACACATACCTATACTGCAAGGGGTTCTTCTTTAAATCTCAGTGTGCATATCTGGGTCCCCAAAATATACCTCCCTTTTGCCAGCCCTTCTTCCCAGGAGTCTTAGTCCTGCTTCCGAAACTCCTAGTTATAGAAAAAACTACAAACATGAATTGGAAACATTTTTCAGTTCTTCCCAACTTTGCATTATTTTTTGTCATCTGGAGTTTTTACCAGTGGGATTAACATATCATGGTTATCAGGAATTGACTTCCCTTCCCACATGGAGCTATAAATCCAAGGACCTTTGGATGCCTTTGCTGTATTCAGTTTCTCTGGCCAAGCCAGCTGGCCAAACCAGTCTCAGCTAATTACCCACTTTTTGATCTCAATATTTCAGCTTGGTCCCAGCTCTAAACTATTTGTCATTGAAGAAAGTTTCCTTAAGTAACATTTAAAATAAGGTTTCCTTTTTTTTACATACCACTTCTCCCTAAAGTTAAATACGGTTAACATATCAATCTTTTAAAATTTTTTAAATTCACACATAACAATTATACATATTCATGGGGTACATAGTGATGCTGTGATACATAAGCATAGTGATCAGATCTGGGTAATTAACATATCCATCATTTCAATCATTTATCGTTTCTTTGTGGTGGGAACATTCATTATCTTCCAAAATGATCTGAACCATCATTAGAGCATAATGCAATAATCAGTTAAATAAAAACCAGACACAGATGGAGGAGAAGTATGGAAGGAAGAAAAAGAGTGAAATGTGAATGGCCTCCAGAATTGAAGAATGGGAGAAATAGGGTTAGTTCCAGGTCTAGCTTGACCTCCAGTGCTCTCCTGTTCAACAGAGCAAGGTCTCCGGACTAAAAAAGGCACTGTGTTCGGATACACCAAACCTAAAGATAGTGTTCATTCAAAGGCTGCTTATGCTATAAAAGCAAATTTTGCATCATGAAGGATAGACAAGTTGGCCACATCCCTTCAAACCCAGACTTCAGTATGGAATATCCGGCTTAGTTGTTTTTAATTTCTAAACTCAAAGGGAACAAGTAGTGGCTGATGAAGTTCAGTCTGCTACCTAAACAGGCTCCATGGTCTGATTAGATGAAATAAATCAGTGAATCTTTTTAAAACGATATTCAGTGGTTACTTTCTACTCAGTTGACATTTGTCAGTGGCTTGGCTATTAGGATGACTACAACTCTTGTTTCTGGAATTTGATCATTCTCCCATACAACTAGTCATGTGTGACTCTGCCATGTGCTACCCCCATTCACCAAACACCAAAGCTCAACATTTTGGGTAGGAAAAGGCCAGTCAGGACCATCAAATGCCCTGAGATAAGTTGGCAGTGGCAGCCTTTTCTTCAGAGAATTTTCACCAGCATACGATTCAGAAAGTGGCTTTTACCAGCAATAGCAGTTTATGAGGGCAGAGACTCTGTCCCCTATGTTGACAACATTGCTTGGCCCAGCGTAGGCAGGCACTCGGTAAATATCTGTTCAATGGATGTGTTAGGGTGAAAAGATGCAGAATAGGAGATGTGCCCTACTCAATCCTCCTTGCTCCTTACACTCATCTTTTTCAAGGAATGCTCTGAATCAGTCACACTTCTGTTCAAAGGTCTTGATGGCTTCCCAGACCTTTGATGGCTTACTCACTAAAGTAAGTACAAACGGCACACCCTGGCATGTTTCCACCCTCCACACCTCCATACTCCATGCTGAGGAACAGTGACTTTAAATAGTGGGATTGAAAAAACAACAAGAGCAATAAAATATTCTATGAAATCCAATAAAGAAAAAAGATAAAATCCAAGAAGGTAAGAAGTCAGTGGTCAGCCTGCTTGGCCTTCCGCTAGACCTAGCAGAGCCTCGTGAAATCTCCAGGAAACCAGAGAATGGTGCTTGCAATAGCTACTTTTTGTCCTCATTTACTCAGCATCCCCAAAGCCCTTTAGGCTTTACTTCCTTGGTGCTTTGGTGCTTAGAATGACCTCTTGCATTTAATGCTATCCATACTTTAAGGTTCTTCCTCGAAACCACCTACTCCATGAAACAATCCTGTATCATTTTGACAGGATATAACTCATACCTGCTTTAAATTTCCTATACAGCTTTAGTTGCTAATAATAATAACAGTAAAAATAAATATTAAAGCTATGTTTCAGACACTATCCTAAGTGCATTACCTGAATTAATCTTCACACAATCCCACTGGCAGAGATGCTATTACCATCTCTGAGACATACAGAAGTTAAATGTCTTTCCCAGGATTCCATAGTGAGTAACAAAGCCAAGATTGAAACCAATG
This sequence comes from Homo sapiens, assembly GCF_000001405.40. Taxonomy (NCBI): domain Eukaryota; kingdom Metazoa; phylum Chordata; class Mammalia; order Primates; family Hominidae; genus Homo; species Homo sapiens. The sequence goes on from NC_000010.11 coordinate 106,596,121, forward strand.
TTCTGACTGGAAAAAAAAATCCAAGTGCTTAAATATGTTACGTAGTCTCTCTCTCTATAAGCATTTATGCAGTTTGCTCACTGACTACTCTCCACTGCCAATTCTTCCCATCCCACAGTACCACTGCCATTGCTACACCGAACTTCCCCACACCACAACCAGGTTATAAGTTTTGTGAAGATGAAGACCACTTTGCACTGGTGTTTGTACTCCATGGAGCACCAGCATGGTACTCTGCAAAAATAAGTACTCAATAAATATTGTTAATTTATTATTAATACATCACAACAATGTCTGTTTCTAAGTGCTTGTATTATCATTGAAAACTATCCTAAGCTACTTGTGTTATCATCTATTCTAAGTTACTTGTATTATTATTGAAAACTCTCCATAAGCTTAGAAGGAGGATCCCCCATCCTCACCACCACCTTCTCAGTTGAAGAGATGGAAGCTCAATGACATTAAGTAAATTGTAAGATCATGACCAATTCCAGGTTCAATTCCTGGGTGTGGCCCTGTACCACTCCTAAGTTCCTGCTATCTCTACTGCGTTACATTATCCTGAAACGTAAAGAAAGAAAATTCTTTGTAATATGAATATGTTGAAAATAAGACTTTGCAGAAAGACCCCCACAAATGTATTTGTTAATGTTATTTTCAGGATTTCTGATGAGATAAATAAAGCATGCTTCCATGTGAGACGTATATAAGCGGTTTGCTGACAGTTTTTGCCAGAGACTAAGTATAAAATATTACCTTCTCACTGGGTCACCCAGGTTGGAGTGCGGTGGCGTGATCTCGGCTCACTGTAACCTCTGCCTCCCGGGTTCAAGCGATTCTCCTGCCTCAGCCTCTCAAGTAGCTGGGACTACAGGCATGCACCACCCTGCCCAGCTGATTTTTGTATGTTTAGTACAGATGGGGTTTCACCACGTTGGTCAGACTGATCTCAAACACCTGACCTCAAGTGATCCACCCACCCCAGTCTCCCAAAGTGGTGGGATCACAGGCATGAGCCACTGAACCCAGCTGAAAGTGTCACCTTTTTCTGTTGTTTAACGGTTCTCCATTAAGGCAGAAACACCAAGCAAGGGAACCTCCAAGATCCGATGACTGATTTGATTTCTGATTAGCATTGTTACCATCTAGCCTTTTTATGAGGAAGGAAGCACGGACTAGGATTCCCTTTGCCAGAGCCACCAGCCAGAACCCCGGGACATGGACACTGACCCGCTGTTAAGTGAGCAGCATGGACAAGGACTCGGACTCCTGGCTTCAGCTCGAAGTGTACTGAGTTTTGGTTGAGCGTGTGGATCAGCAATTCTGATATCTGAAAAAAGAAGCATAGTTAGTGACACCAAAAGTGTCATACTGATTATAAACCAATAAGCTTAGAAATATTTACTATTTTCACCAAGGTATCACAATATTATACCCGTGAGTTATATAAATAAGGTTTATATGATTTTGATTTAATTCCAGAATATGCAGATACAATTATTTTTAAGCATGACCTGTCTTTACGTGCTAATTGCAACAAAATAGAAGAAACTATTAGTGAATGAAAATAATTATACTCTTTAAAAATTATTCTGTATGATCTTAGAAAACTTACCCCCAGTCTTTTGAGAGAACATTTGTTATGCATGAGGACTTAAAAGAAGTATATACAATTTACACATTCCGATAAGATTAATATATATTCATTTTACTTCCATTCTATTTCCCAAACCATGTGATTTTCACAAAACACTTTATGAATATTTATTGTATGGTAAATATAGTTCTGCTAAAATATGCAATTGAAACAAAGTACAGCCACAACGTAAGTAACAAATTGGCTAACCTTTATTTCATGCTTATAAATATTATCTAAACTGTTCCTCAGGCTGACACACGGATACCGGGCAGACCCATGGAATTCTGGACTATGAAATATTTAACCCCAAGCACGGGGCAAATAACTTCATTTGGGTAGAAATAGTGTAAGGTAAGGTTTTATGGATGAGGTAAAATGGTTCGTCTGTTTAGAGTAGAAAACCTAGCTCCATTTGCTGTGTCCTTTATAATGTTGAGGAATTTCTGAAAAGTTACGGGGATAACAACACTCCTATTATATTATTATTATTATTATTATTATTATTATTATTATTATTATTTGAGATGGAGTCTTGCTCTCTTGCCAGGCTGGAGTGCAGTGGCACAATCTCAGCTCACCGCAACCTCCACCTCCTGGGTTCAAGCGATTCTCCTGCCTCAGCCTCCTGAGTAGTTGGGACTACAGGCGTAAGCCAACACACCCAGCTATTTTTTGTATTTTTAGTAGAGATGGGATTTCACCATGTTGGCCAGGATGGTCTTGATCTCTTGACCTTGTGATCAGCCCGCCTCAGCCTCCCGAAGTGCTAGGATTACAGGCATGAGCCACTGCGCCCGGCCCACTCCTATTACTTTTATCTGGTCTGCTAGCCTTATTTTTAATATTCTAATAATCACTTAATATTTTACTTAACATGTTATTTAAGTCTAATTAGATGCTTTCTGACCATCATTCTGCTAATTAAATTCTTAATTTTTTTTTCCTTTTCTATTTGTTGAGTTTTATTTCCTTCAGTGAGTTGCCAAAATAACGCCTTTAATCCCTTTATTTGTTAAGCAGGGCCTGATGGCTTAGTTTGGAAACAGACAGTCACCTGCAGAAGCCCCTGATTGGTGACAGAACTGAACTGCCCCACAGATAAACTTCTCTCCTGAACAACAGGAACAGAGGATGACCATCACTGCCCAGTCGTTGAGCACCTGGGATCCAGAGCAAGCCCAGCCTTTCAAATGCTGTCATTTAGCAAACAATGCAGAAAAACAAGATTGTCATAAAACTATGCTGAAAACAAAAACAACTTTATTCTGTGTATTAGGCTACTTCTTTTCTTGGGTGCTGGGAATCAACCAGAATGATTCAGGTTTACAGAAGTGGATTTCTGGCCGGGCACAGTGGCTCACTTTGGGAGGCTGAGGTGGGTGGATCACTTCAGTTCAGGAGTTCGAGACCAGCATGGCCAACATGGTGAAATCCCATCTCTACTAAAACTACAAAAAATTAGCCAGGCATGGTGGTGCACACCTGTACTCCCAGTTACTTGGGAGGCTGAGGCCAGAAAAATCACTTGAACCCAGAAGGCAGACGTTGCAGTGAGCCAAGATCATGCCACTGCACTCCAGCCTCAGAGACAGAGTAAAACTCTAATTCAAAAAAAAAAAGAGGAGGAGGAGGAGGAGAAGGAAGGGGAGGGGAAGGAGAAGGAGAAGTGGAGAAGTGGATTTCTAACACAGATTGCATACAATGGTTTTCCTCTGTGTTCTTATCTTTTAATTGGCAGAGTCTTTATAGGAATCAGACAGTGGAGTTTTTAGAGGTCTATCACAAAGGTTTTAGCTATGAAATACACACACATACATGCACACACACAGATACAGAATTTCAGAAAAAATATTTTTTATTCAAATATGAAAGACTTGGTCAAAAGTAATGAGGGAATTAGCCTGTTTTGCCAAATTTATCACATGGACTAAAGGGAACTACATGTATTTGTGGGAGAAAGACTCCCCACTTTCAACCAGGTGAAGCCATATTTCTTTCTTTCTTTCTTTCTTTTTTTTTTTTTGAGACAGAGTTGGAGTCTTGCTCTTGTCGCCCAGGCTGGAGTGCAATGGCGCGATCTCGGCTCACTGCAACCTCCGCCTCCCTGATTCAAGTGATTCTCCTGCCTCAACCTCCTGAGTAGCTGGGATTACAGGCGCCTGCCACCACATCCGGCTATTTTGTTGTTTGTTTGTTTGTTTTGTATTTTTAGCAGAGACAGTGTTTCACCATGTTGGCCAGGCTGGTCTCGAACTCCTGACCACAAGTGATCCACCCGCCTCAGCCTCCCAAAGTGCTGGAATTACAGGTGTGAGCCACTGTGCCTGGCCGCAATATTTGTTTCTTATCACTGAGAATGTTTTCTCTTCAAGTGAGATATACCAATAGCTAAACCAGAAAATGGAGTTTATCAAAATAACATATTTTTAATTTATAATCTCCAGGAGAGACCCTTGTGAAAATAATTAACTACTTGGTTTTGTTTTGGTTTACAACATTGTTTCATTGGCTCTATCTGTGTCACTTACAAAATTTTAAGAAGGAAATTTAAATTTAAAAATTATCTGGTAACAGAAAGTACGTTTCATATATTTAACTTGCATCAAAGGACATTCAACAATGAACACATGCTTTGTGAGAAAAAATTTGCATAAGAAAACAAAACTAAATAAAATTTACATTGCATATAAGAATAATCTCAATTAGAACCATGTGCTTTTCTACTGAAATGAGTATGAAACTGTTGACAGATTTTGACAATATTTTAGATGTTTTCCACACCACTTGTAGAAGTGTTTATCCTGTATTTTTTCAAAAGATTACAAGTTGTTACATATATTCTAAAGGACATTATATATGCTGTGAACACTATTTTGGTAAAGTTGCTTGCTTCTTACTATCTTTTCTAGCAGAACACATCTTAGGTGTCAGTGCTGGCATCTTCATGGAAAGGAACATGGAGCTTAAAGGAAATACCAAAGTTTATTCAGTTAATATTTGAAGAGTTGAGACTAGACTTTGGCTTTGTTTGACTCCTAATCCTAGGGTATCTCCATTAAAAATATTTTCCTTGAACAAGCTGACAAAGAGAGAGACAGCAGAAGAGAGTTGGAGAGACGTCTGGCAGGATAGGTTTATAAGATGAGAAAATACAGCACTTATATTAATTATGCTGCCTTCTCTCATTCATCTGTGAAGCACCCGAAGTTAAAACATCAGCCCCAATGCCCAGTGACCAATATGGGCTACAGGAGTGGGGATTTCCTAACACCATCCTCAGAGGGGCCACTTTCTGTTCACCAGTTGCATAATTGGGTAATGTTTGGGAGAGTCTTCGGCTATAGAAAGGAGTAGAATAAACTGCATTCTACTGGAAAGTATGGCAACAGCCTAAATGAGAAGAAAAACACTTGCCTGATAGAGACTCAAGTGAAATACTGTGTGATTTCTAGGAGGGAGACTGAACCTGCTAAAGCAAATTGAATTTATTTCTTTTTCTTTTTCTGTCTGGTGAAAAGCGTGTTGTCTTAACAAATTTCATTTATCCTGTATACAGTCATCCCTCTTCTGCTGCTTTCCAGCACAGTCCATTTTCTATTCCACATCAGCTAAACAATCACGCCATAGAAACAACACATTATTCTTGGTATCTGCCTATTTGGTGGAATATGCCTATTATTCAAGTGCAACCTACATTTCATTTAAAGTCCCACTTAAAAGGACAGTGGAGGCTCAATTCGAATTTTAGGAAAGCTATCATCAAAAGGATGTCTTGGGAGGGACCTGTGACAGGGAAAACACCAATGTTCCTCATTGTCTTCTTCACACAAGAGGAAGATTGAATGCAGCACTCAGAATCAACTAGATATGGCTGTGGGCAGGGCCTTCAATCAAGAAAGGTCAATTTTTTGCTCACATGTCATATCCATGGCAGCTATGCAGTGGTGTTGGGCTCCCTGTGGTCACACAGGGACACTGGCTGGTGGAGCGGCCATCACAAGCATTTCCATTCATTACATACAGCACAAGAGGGAAAAGGAGCTAGCAAAATTCTACAATGTGCATTTGAATACTTTAGCTTGGAAGTGGCACATATCACTTCTGCTCCCACAGTCCTGAGGCTCTGCCCCAGCAGAATAGACTCATGGTACAGTCCTATCATGTACCCTGAAAGCAGTGGGCTGGAAATATTTAGTCACACAGTGATGGTTACCACACAAAGAACACATTCAACATCCAAACAATTTCTAATGAAATCAAGAGGGGGAAACACTATCAGATGATCAGAAGTAAAGTGGCAATTCTTGAAACATGAAAAAATAAAAGTTTTAAGGACAGTAGAGTAGTTTATAAATTCATAGAACACATAACCCAAATAAGTGGTACAAGGTAAAAATGCAGATGCAAATGGGCTTAGACAAATGTATTAATGGCAAAGCTACACTGGGCTAAAATACGAATATTTATTCTGAAGGTGGTAGGATGAATGCAAATCTTACTGAACTTAATAGCATTCTAGTGCCATGTTTAAAGAGGGTGTTGCCTGGGATGACCTGGGAGCTGGCTCAGTTGGTCAGTCTTGATTCTGCCACACTATTAAAGTCTCTTCAAGTAGCAGTTGAGGAATATTCCTTTTGTGTTAAACAGAGGAAGATCTTTCCCAATTCATACATTTTTTGCATTGAATGACAGGGAAGCAATGGAGCCAAATACTAAATTCTAATTAACAGTAGCTCAATTTCATTCCTTCATAACACACACACACACACACACACACACACACACACACACAAACACACACACAAATTTAGCCTGATTAAAGTGCCTAAGGGGTCTCCTGGATAATGGTTCATGAAGACACAAATCCGTCATAAATATGTGTTTCCTTTGGATTTCCCATCACCCACTTTAAGCTTCTCTCTACCTCCTCCTGACACATTTGCTCTGGTCCACCTCTTACCTCCTCCACTTTTGGTTATAGTTCTCCTACTTCAGTGACCTTCCTTGTAAACTCCAGAGTATTTTTGTAATTTGACTCCCCAAGTTAAAAAGATCTGGACTGATAAGCAAAATGTGTGGATATACAGAAAATAGAGATTATTAATTCCATTTCATAATAAATTTCTATTTTCTTAAAACTGTCACCCTGCTCCCTATCGAGATCTGCCTTTCCTTTCTTCCTTAGGTTTCAGGCTCTGCATCTGCCAACCGTGTAGAGTAATAAAAACAGCCAAGGAAGAAATATATATATTTTTGTGGTTGACATTTTTTTCACATCTTTTTTGTTCTTTTTAGATGTTCTAATGTCCTTTAAGGATCCTGAAAGACAACACACCTAGGCTCCTTATCTCCCCAGCACAGCATCACAAACAATCACGATAGAGCATGGCGGTCTTTCCTCCCTACAGGAGAGACAGAAACAAATTTATTCACCCCTGAGGACTCCGAGGGGAGCAAGGAAGTGGGATGCTTGAGGGGCAGGGCTTGCTCCACATCTAAGCAGCTGGCCTCAGGACAGCAGCACGCGCTCCCCTTGATGAGGCCAGCTCAGGGCACAAGAGCCTTTTCTCACTCACCAGAGATCCCAAATAAAGGCTGGTGGAACCCTCCCAGACAGAGGTCACTCGATTAACCCAGCCCGCCTCATCCTGATAACAGGGTCAAGTACTTCTCACTGTGAAGAATTTTCAATTTATTTCACAGACAAGATAGCTCGATCCAAGCCAGCATCGCTGCTCCCCAGGAAGGCTCTCAGAGGAAGCTAAGGAAGGAGGACTGAGAGTCCTTTGCTGGGGCCCTGCCCTCCCATTCTTTAGGGCACCTCTGTCTAGGATCCCAGTTCTTTCACTGCAGGGGGATCTGTACTGCACCTTTACAAGAAAGGGGGCCAAGGCGTGAAATGAGGGGATAAGGACAGCCCTTCTCAAGTTTCCGCTGAGATTTAGAGTACAGCCTTCAAAGGAGGGGGTTCATTTCTGTTCTTTGGGTTTGCTTTGCATTTGTCTTAAATTTCTGTATAATTTATGATACCAGAAGTCAGTTGCGTTTGCCTCCCAGCATTCCCTCTCCCTTCCCCACATTGTTCTTTGAGGAATCCATGTCCTTGTCTAGTCTTGGTCCATTTGGTTCAGGGAGGGTATAAAACGTCTCAGTTGTCACTGACAGCACATTATCCCCAAGACTGCAGGGACTAGCTAAGAGATGACCACTTTAAACAGGTCAGACAAGTGAAAACTGTGAACCTGCAACTCTCGCTGGTGCAATCAGGTGAGAGGTACCGTCTTTGGATTGGGTTGATAAACTGGCTAAATAGAAGTTGGGGATGCCTGTGGCCATTCTTGCTTTCCTATGTGTTGGCTTCATTCTCAGGCCAACTTCCCATATGGTAGCCAGGAAAACAGACGGAGAGAGAGGAAGAGAGGGAAGTAATTTGGTGATACTTTTGAGTGGTTCTGAATTCATCTATGCCTCAACTGTACCTCTGGACTTCTCAATTAAATTAATTCAAAAACTCCCTTTATTTTTACCCATAAAGTTAAGTGATTAAGTCAGAGCAGAGAATGAAAGGACCCCTCCTGGATTGAAAACTATGGGTCTCCAGGAGACTCCCCTGTCTCACAGGGTCTAGACATGCACCTTGGTTTAATAAGTTGATTTCAGGTGCATTTTTCCATCAGGGTAATAATGTTCTCCACAACTAAGACACTAATTTCTGATGTGCTCTGTTTGGCATTTGTAAAGTCACTGTGTCTACTTTGCTTTGAGTCCTGGAATAGGCTGATACACTGGCATTTTCCTTAAACAAATTTACAGTCTCTAGCTTGGTACCTTACTTTCTTTTCATGCTATAAATCTGCATAACTCGCATGAGCTCATGCCATTCAGATACATTCCTTCCTTATTGTCCTTGTTTTTCTCCATTTTGAGTAACTGCATTCATTAATGTTTTTTCCCTTATTCCCATCATCCTCTCTTCCAATACATGCCCTTGACTATACCAGTCTATTTAATAGGCCTAAACTCATTTTTTTCATTTTCCACATCTCTTCTTACCATATAATGAACATGAATGTAACCATTATCTCTATATCTCCAGTGAACATTTTACTCAAGGCCAAGTACTTTGCTATATCATTTCTTTAATCCTCCCAGACACCCCATGAGATAAGTGTGACTTTGGCTCAATTATTCAACTTTTCTTGTCCTCACTTTCCTCATCGGTAAAATGGACATAATAAATATCAGAGGTGAAACTAGAAACTGGTTGATATTTACGTAAACCTGTGTTCTAACAAAATAGACAGACTCTTCTACATGTGTGCCAATTCTAAGTCACACAGCCTTCAAGCAAGCTAGTTAGTTTCAGATCTCTGATGACATGGTTCACCAATGACTGATACAGTCTGCCTTGAGGGCCACACTCAGCTCTCTGAGAATGCCTTTGCAGGAAACACCCAGAAGAGACAGAGAATGAAGGGAAACAAGAAGTCTAGAGAAAGCAGACAGTCAAAGCAAGACACATCCATACATAAGTATAAGAAGTTTCACAGAATGGACCCCTCTTCTTTCCAAATTTCCCCTCAAATAATGATGTAGAAAATACAACACTTTTAGAAAAAAACATGGAAAGTGTGAGAAATAAAAGTGCACAGATGATGTGGTAACTAGGAAAAAAAGGTGACTCTAAATCTGTACCCTCTTCCATACTTGAAAAGATTAAAATCTGGATTTCATGAAAAACCAGTAAGATTTAGAGGAGGTACAACTGCAAATGTTCCTATCTAAAGGCTTTGGATAGGGATCTGCTTTCCCTCTGGGTTCTTGACAATGTTGTGATAAGAAATAATCTATTCTTTCTCCCACCAAAATGCAGTGCAGATAATAATTTGTAGAGTATGATGGGAAGCTGAGGTGGGGAGTGAGGTTAGATGCAAATCTGAGGAGTTACCTGCTGCCCACCCTTCACCTCCACTTCACTAGGAAATGGGGTTCAACAGGGCTTTCCATGAGAGCTCTGCTCTTCATTACTTGCACACAGAGAAAATTATACAGGGGAGCCTTCTGCCAAGTGAAAAAGTGGCAGCTGAAAAGAAGGTGTGTGCTAGGAGGTGGGCCATGCCATAATTTGGGGTTGTTTTTAATAAGACTATTATAGAAGTTTCTCAAGTCATCCTGGAAGACTAAAGATCATGGGGCTAGATTATGGGTTTAGTAAACAGAAAATCTCCAAGTACTGGAAGGGAAACAGCCAATATTTACTTAGTGGCCGAGAGGAATCTTATTTTTAATCTATTTACCTGGAAGAACTGATAAATCAAAATCATTTCGTTTCTAAAAGTGCAACTAGGCCAAGGCTGATCATTTTAACTGAATGGACAAAGAAGGATAACAACAACATAATTATCCCCACTACAGAGACAGGAGAGTCTTTTAAAGTTAAAAGGAGGAAAGGGAAGAAAAAAGAAGACTAAAGGGGAAAAGAGAAAGAGAATCACACAAATACACACACAGATATACACACACACACACACACACACACACACACACACACACACACACACACTCAAATGCTCCAGAAGGTAGTGGAGATGAGGAGGAGGTGAACCCCACAGGGCAGTAGAGTTGCTCGGGAGCTAATGTTACTCATTACAAACACAAATTAGATCATCAAAGGATTAGTCATTTGTATAAAAGTTGAACCTGTTAAAAAAGATATGCATGTCATGTCATTTGCTTCTCACGGCATTCTTGTGACAAGTATGATATTGTTCAGCAACTTGCTTTTTTTTCCACTTGATATCACGGACAATTTTTTGTGTTGGTATACATAGATTAATCTAATTCATTGTAAACTCCACAGAGTATTCCACACTGTAAATAATTTAGCCGTTCCCTGCTGATATGGTTTGGCTGTGCTCCCACCCAAATCTCATTTTGAACTGCAGTTCCCATAATCCCCACTTGCCATGGGAAGGACCCAGTGGGAGGTAACTGAATCATGGGGGCAGTTACCTCCATGTTGTTCCCACGATAGTGAGTTCTCACAAGATCTGATGGTTTTATATGGGGCTTTCCCTGCTTCACTCTACACTTCTCCTTGCTGCCACCATGTGAAGAAGGACAGGTTTGCTTCCCCTTCCGCCATGATTGTAAGTTTCCTGAGGCCTCCCTAGCCATGCTGAACTGTAAGTCAATTAAACCCCCTTTATAAATTACCCAGTCTTGGGTATGTCTTTATTAGCAGTGTGAGAACAGACTAATACACCTACCATGAATGCTCTTGCATGTGCTTTTGGTGAAGCTGTAGTTAGGATCACCAGTTTATGGGTCAGAAATGGAGGCTTAGAAAGTTGAAGACTCCACAAACGGTTGAAGCTGAAAACGTCTCCTTTTCCAGGGGACTCACCTGCTCCAGGTCATCAGTTGACCTTTTGTTTTCTCCAGCTGGATCCTGATAGGGTAGGACAAAGAGTTCAGCAGTGGTGGGTAAGCCAGGGAGCACCGCCACCAGGATGTGCTGGCCTGGAACCCCTGTGGCCTGAGGGACAGACACAGGGGCTCACATTAGTGCTGCAGAGAAGAAAGCTGAGAAGGGACCAAGTATTTGGTGGGGGGATCAGGGGTAGGCAGAAGACACCACAAGGGGCCTGAAAGCAGAGGCCTGGGCATATCAGGCAGGGAGTATGTGAGAGACAGCACTGGGCTATTAGGTCCAGGCTCCGGAGTCAGGCTGTCTGTGATTTAATCCCAGCTTCAACACCGTGAGACCTTAAGCTCATTGCTTGTGTTCTCTATGCCTACATTCCTTTAAATAGAAGACAGGACAGTTGCAGTACTTGCCTTGTTCATGGCTGATTTTGAGGATTAAATGAGTTACACATGAAGTATTTACAGTAGGGCCTGGGGATTCAAATGTTAGCTCTTTTTGCTAGAGAGCATCTCCAAGGTGGTGACCATGCCAGTGAGAAGACCTTCACTTTATCATCTGCCCCTCATGCCTTAGCCCTTTCTAACCTAGCTTCCTCCTTCGTCAGCCCACTGGAGTTACTCTTCAAATAGACCCACCACATCCTAACCACCTAACCTAAGAGGACATCCCCATATCACAACCCTCAGGAGGCCCCTGTTGACTTTTCTGCAGCATCAGACCTGATGACCAGCCCTGTTCCCTGAAGCACCCTGAGCCCTCCACTTGGCCACACTGACTCTTCTGTTAAAATTACAGATATCACTCAAGGACTTCTTGTTTATCCTAGCTCACTGTTCTCTCTCTTGAGCTTATACCCCAGGGTTTCCCCTGAATCCTCTCTCTAGATGCTTCTAGAATCAATAGCTATAATCCCAGCTTCTCTCTCCAGCAGTCCAATTCTGATCATGTTCCTTGTCCAAAATGCTTGCAAGAATTCCCAATGCTAACAGGATTAAGGACATATTCAAGGCCTTCTGCAATATGGTCCCATGCTTCCTTTCCAAACTAATTACCCACAACTCTTACGCTTTTGCCAAATGGGATGATGTACAATTTCTCAATATTTCAGCTTTTTCCTGCAAATGTTCCTGTGCATGTTATCTCCACCAGAATGTCTTTTCTCTGCCTTTGCTATTTATCCTTCATGAGTCATCTTAAAGCTTATTTATTTCATTATTTCCCAATTAGGTGATTATTTGTTTTTGAACTCCACTGTGCTGCATTTTTTTTTGAAGTAGCAAGAAATTCCAGGTATTAGGTCCTCACCTAATGTTATAAGTTACTTAGCACAATCCCAGGTACTTCCTGGGTGTATTGTGCTAAGTAACTTATATTATTTGATGTGACCTCCAACAACGTTACTATTATAAGTAACTTATAATATTATTTTAGGCAACCTCCAACAACAACCCTTTGAAGCAAATATGATTACACCTCACTCTGCAGTGAGAACATATCATATGCTGGGGTCCTCAGGAAGCTGACTCTGAGTTTAGCATGCAGGATGTTTACTAAGAAGTGCTCTTGGGAACAACACCTATGGGAGCAAAGGGAAGGAAACAAACATGGACAAGGGAAAACTTGAGCTGCCATGTAGGCCCATGACAACTTCAAGAGACCCCGAGGGGAGACAGAATGGCCCTTCAGAGTTGTCTTAAATTGGGCTGAGATGGCCAGGACTTTACATAACTGCACCAGCCTGTCATCAGACATGAGCCACCCTAAGAAGTGACACGACTTGGAACCCAGCTGGTGAAGACTCTGCCCATAGCCCTCCCAGAAAAGACAATAAGTGTCTCCCTGAACAGAGATCTGGGTGGTGCATCTCAATTTCCACTCCAGGAAAGATGGTGGCTGTAGGAAGATTAGACAGTGGCTCAAGGCCATCTAGGAAGTGACTGCTGATGCTTTTGAAGCCTGGTCTGACTGTGAAGTCTGTGTTGGGACCCAGTGCTCTGTACCTCCCTTCTCCAGACACTGACAAACAACAGCTCCTATTACAGCAAACCCCACACTGTTTTATGCCCTTACTAGACTGTAAACTCAGAGATTGTGCCTGAATAATCTTCATTGTACACAAAAATGTTTATAATGACATTCAATTAAAGATTTCATTGTGAAATGTCAATAGCAAAAGCCATTTTGAGGAAGAAAAGGCAAACAATTTAATACTAAATTTTGTTTCATAATGAATAGCAAGAAAACTGCAAATAAGCTGACTCTCAGTTGTACCTCTCATAGGGTTTATTAGTGTACACTTGCCAATGTGGTCCCTTGGGACTTAAAAAAGTGGCCAAGTGCAATTACTGATCTCAAAGTCAGTGCAAATTGCTAGGAACCAAGCTCTGCATCAACTGCTTCTTGGGATTGGGTGACTAGGGAGCCTTGAAAACTAGAAGGTATTAATACCACCACCACCACTGCTATAACCCTGCCCTGAGGGATAATGAGTCAATCTGTTTATTCTGCATATTCCTGATTATGCTACACAGCAGGCTAGAAATCCTGATGAGCAGTAATTTCTAGCCTAATGGACAGCTGGTAGAAAGGTGGAGGTACAGGGCATCTGATCTCTAAGTAATAAGTGTGAAGAGAAATCAGCCTGGAAGGCTGGACATTGCTGAGCTAGTGCTTGGTTGATACATCACCTGGGGGAGTTGGACAGATAGAGGACCTATGGGGACACAGGTCCCTAGAATGCTGCAGATGAGAAGAGATGGACAGTGGGTTCGTTAAAGAGCATAAGTCATCCTTCTTGGACAGCAGAGGACAAAAACCAGTTGTTACCCTAGAGACGGATGGCTCAGAGTAGAAAGGCCTATTCCTTTTAGGGTTGTAGTCTGGTAGTCGTGCCTCCTGGTGGTGATAATGTGTAACCACCAATCATGTCACAGATGCTGAAAGCCATAGAGACAGAGGTGGGTGGCATTGCTCAGAGGCACATGAAGATACCCCTTCTTTACCCCAGTATTCCATCTATCCCTGTTTCTCCTTGGAATAAGGAAGAGGATGGCCCTAGAGTGGAGTGGTTAGGAAACCACAAAAATCAAGATTCAAACCTTGATGGTTTGACTCCAGAATCTGATCTTTAAGTGCATGACCTTGGATGAGTAACCTAATATCTCTGAGTTTCATTTCTTCACCTACAGAATGGGTAGTTCTGAAATCACGGTTTCAACATCGTAAGCTTATTTGGGGGATTAAATGTGTTAAAATAATGCAAAGCACTCAAAAGAGTATCTAGAATATTTTAAGTGCTAACCAAATATTAACAAAGGTAATGAAGACAGGGAAGACCAGCTCCTTGCAAGAGGCTGGATGTAAGATCTGTTTTCTGATCAGGAGTTATCTGAATGCCTTTATTTCATCATCTTTTTGTGTCCTGTGGCACCATGTGTTGGAAGCAGGAAAGAATGTTCAGCAAACCTAAACTGATTTTCATTCTGAGCTAAGAATATGCCCTGGGAGTGGATAACTCACTTCTGATTTTCCGCGTTTGCACAATAAGCTCAAGCTGCCCCATGAGCGGCTATCCCACTCCTCTGCTCACTCATGAAAGTAGAATAAGGGGCCGACGCAGTGGCTCACGCCTGTAATCCCAACACTTTGGGAGGCCGGGGCAGTTGAATCACTTGAGGTCAGGAGTTCGAGACCAGCCTGGCCAACATGGTGACACCCGTCTCTACTTAAAATACGAAAAAAATAGCTGGGCGTGGTGGCAAGCACCTGTAATCCCAGCTACTTGGGAGGCTAAGGTGGGAGAATCGCTTGAACCCGGAAGGCAGAGGTAGCAGTGAGATGAGATTGAGTCACTGCACTCCAGCCTGGGTGACAGAGTGAGACTATATCTCATAAAAGAAAAAAAAAAAGTAGAACAAGGAGGGGAAGATGTGCCTAAAAGAAGGTGTCTTCTCTAATTGCCAGTGACATTTGCTCAGGGAAGGATAAAACACAACCACCTTGTTATTCTCTGAGAAACCTTAGGAAGCTTTGTCAAATACACAAAAGCCCAGACATTGGACTCAGGCCCTTAATTTCAATTTTGCAGCTCCATCCTCTATTAGATATGAGAGTTTAGGCAAGTTACTTAACCTCTCTAAACTTCAGTTGCCTCATCTACAAAGTGTGGATAATAATTCCTTTTTGGGGCTGTTACAGTACAGAAATTTCTTTAAAAAAATGAGGAAATAGAAATATGACTAACCATCATATACTGAATGCTCACTGCACTGTTATGCTCACAGTTGCGGAAGTTGGAACCTGGGACCACTCTTACTAATTGTAGTCAGCCGAGGACACTTACATGCTGAGTTCCTTCACTGGCAGGTACAGTAGCTGGTTTTATAATTCCTAATGGCCTAATTGTGAACTCTGCTACAGAAATGTGGACAAAGGAGTTTAGGATGTACTTGTCCTCCTTCTCTAAGCAGAACAAGAGTCACAAGAGGCAAGGACCCCATGTTTGTCCGTGGTTCCATAGTTGCATCCCCTTTAGGGCCTTTGAGGTCTCTGCATGTGTGGGGCTCAGCTTTGCAGACATCAGGCCAGAACTTCCCATGGGCTCTAGCTTCTTCCTGCTGGGTTAGTTTGTTTGTTTTTGTACAAAGCTCCCCTTTCTGTGAAATTCTTCAAGGACAGAGAGAAAAGGTACCCGGGCAAGAGAAGAAACTGTGTGCACTCACTTCCACCAGGGATTTTTTGATGACTCGACCGATGTCCCTCCTCCACTCAGGGATGTCCGGGTTGTAGTCATCCAGGTTTGGAGAAAAGGACAAGCGAAGAGACCGGAATTCCTCTGGGGATATAACAGTAGATGGAGTACTATAAGTCAAATAGTCCTGTCAAGAGGTTTGTTAGACTTTATATTTTATACAAAATGGAGGGTCCTTCCCCTTCACTTACCATAGGGACCTTTTTAGAAGGCAAGCCACTACCCTGTGAATATCTCACCAGCCCCTTCTTTTCTTTTTTTGTTTGTTTTAAGGAGCGGAGAGTTTAATAGGCAAGAAAGAAGGTAGAAGAAAGAAGGAAGAAGCTCCCCTGTATAGAGACAGAGGGAGGGGGCTACAAAGCTGAGAGAGGAGACCACCCCCCCAGACTACCCCTGGCCCCCCTTCCCCCCTTCTCCTTTCCTCTGTCTCCCCCTTTCCCCCTTTTCTCCCCCTCCCGCCCCCACCCCCGCAGCGTGACCGATACCATCCAGTTATATGAGGAGGCAGTGTCTGATTTGCATAGGGCTTAGGGATTGGTTTGACCAGGCATGTCATTCATGATATAGACAGGGAAAAAACTGGCCCTCTCACCCTAGCCTTTTAGTATGCAAATGCAGGGTGCCATGTTGTTCTACACACAGAGGGATACGTGGGGGCAGCCATGTTGCCAGTCACATGTGAGGGCAAGGGCAAGAACAGGGCAGGGAATTGCCATGTTTGGTTGGACCCAGTTTCTAATGGCCAGCATTTGCATACCAAAGGTTGCCAGCAGGCTCTAAGAGCCCGTAGCCCCTTATTTTCTAAACCAAACCCCTAACTTTGTTCCATGCCTATCTTTGCAGCCTTTGCCTATTATTCCTAGTTCTAGGTTCTGCGCTCCTGGATAGTAAATGATCTGGAGCAACCTGAATGCATGGTAGGTTTATGACCCTGGGCCTCTTTGCACACACCGTTCTTCTGCCTAGAACGCCCCATTCTCCCCACTGTCCATGCACAAAATATTCAAGCTCTAGTTGAAGCACTCCCTGGCTCACTACCCTCCCCCGGCTCACTACCCTCCCCCATCACATTTTAATTTTCTTTTTTATGGCACTACTCTGTTTTGTACATACTTTTTATTATTATTATAGGATTATGGAATAATTATTATGATTAGATATTTATAATTATCACTGTAATCATTCTATTGCTATCGTTTGTTTGCATGGAAGTTTCATTTAATGGAATTTTATGTTATTCAGGGATTTTCTTCATTGTCTCTGTAGCACCTGAGTTAGTTTGGTTCTCCAGGAAGCAAGATGGTGATTACACAGGCAAGGATTATATGAGGGGAATTCTCTGTGCGAGAAAGTGGGCAGGAAGCCACAGGAGTCATGGAGAACTATCGACCACCGTGCATGCATATAGGACAGTCAAAGAGAGGAAGAAAGAGTGGGTGACTACTCTGCAGTCTGAGGAAGGTTCAGTAAGCCTGTTCAGGAGTCTTGGAGCCAAAGTCGCTGGCAGAGGAGTCCCCTGCGTTCCAGGAATGGTTCAGCCTTAGTATCCCTGCTATACTCTGTCATTGGCAGGGTAAGTCCCTGGAAGGTGGAGCCCTAGCCCTAGCTTGGTGATAAGCTTCAGAGCACAGCACTGGTGGCCTTGGTCAGTTACACTCTCTGGAGTTGGAGGTCTGTGAAGCCCATTCTTGTGGCTTCAACACTCCTTACCCAGCATAGTGTTTGGCACATAATAGACTCAGATCATATGGCTCCCCTAAAACCTGCCAGTGCCTCCACATTGCATTTAGTATAAAATTTAGATTCTTACCACAGCCTTCCTGGCCCTACATAACCTGGTGGGGACTTCCTTTGTCCTGTCCTACCTGGCTTTCCTGCCCTCTCTGTGCTCCAGGACCTGTACTTCCCTGTGCTCCTCAATCCTGCTGGCTCTGTCCATACCAGCTCTCTCCACTTCACTGGACTGTAGCAAACTCCCCTCTCATCATTCAGTCTCACCCCGAGAGGCCTTTCCAACCACCCAACCTCAGGTAGCCTCCCTTCCACCATCCCATGCACCCTTCATCACTGGACCCTTTGTCTCTTTTTCACACTCAGCGCTATTTAAATTATTTTGTTTTCATTGATATGTCCTTCAAACTGGAATATAACCTCAATCAGGATGATGGCTCTGTGTTCCTGGCCCTTGTCTAGCACACAGTAGGTTTTCAGTTACTATCTATGAGTCATTTATAATTAATAAACATTTGTTGAATAAATGTATGCTTAACTTATGGTGTAGCCTTCTCGAAATTTATGCATTTATTTATTTAATAAACATTTTTTATGTTAAGCATGCCCTTTTGTTTCATTAGGGTCCAAGCGACATTGGGGATGCCAATTTACATTCAGGAAGCACAAAAGTTCACTTGTACATTTCCTAACAATGCTAAGGAGTTATCAAACACATGTTTCGAAGACTCTGACTTTATAAGGTATGTTTTCGTGGCAGTTAATATATTCCAAAGAGGTATTGTTCAAAGCTTGACTATTTTATGAGTCACTGGTCACCTATGTGAATATTACCTGATGGGGAACAATGAAATGCACGTTAACTAAATAGTGTGGTAAACAGCAGTGCCAAAGAATCACCCATTAAGTCCTCACTTCTTGCTATGAAGATTTAAGTTTATGTCATTCTCACTTTCTCCGTACCTCTTACCAAACTGCAGAGACTTCATCCACAAGGGAGAATGTTTATCTTAGTAAAAGGACACAAATGAGAAAATGATGCAGCTCCCTCCGTAATTACTTAGCATACTAACCAGCATGGCAGGGAGGCAGAATGGCAGGGAAACGTACTTAAGTTGATTCAAGAAATAGGGGATGCGTGTGGGCGGACTGAAAAGGGTAAACACCAATAATATAATATTTTTTGCAGCTGTTGAGAGAGATAAAGTCTATACACTTGCGTATTTTTATTTACAAGCAAACTTGTGCCCTGGAGCAAATTAGAAGAAACAATGCAAACTAGATTTTCTTTCTTTTAATTGATTGTGTGGCTTTGAGTAGACAAACCTTCCCCTGTCAATTTCCCAAATGTGATGCTTTTTTCAGTCCCATCATGACAATAGGACTTCATGTTCCCATCAATCTCACTAAATTTCAAACAAGTTTCTGTTTCTTCCTGACTGTAAGCTCCTGGACTTGCTTTTCTTAGAGTATTCTGGAAAACTTACAATTGTAAATTCCTTCTCTGTCCCTTGAGATGTAAAACTTCTACAACTCATGAATGTCTTTCTCAAGGACCTGGGAGCCATTCCTTTGAAATGTAATCATCAAGAAAGATAGCACCCCTCCCTATCTCCCAGTCTCTGCGGGAGAGTAGGAGACTGACTTCCCTAAGCAGTGATTAACTCACACAGATGGTCTAATCACACTGGAAACCCACGTGCTTCCTAAAGTTCTCCAGTATTTTCCCACTAGCTAACCCCAGCGTTTACAAATCTTCCTGCTTTTTCTTTCAGCTGGGTTCAATCTTTCCTGTTTAACTTTGCCTGCTCCAACTTTTGTTTAAGGAGTCACACCTGTCATTAAAACTGTCTGATCATGGAACCAGGTGTGGTTACTCATGCCTGTAATCTCAGTACTTTGGGAGGCTGAGGAGGGAGGATCGCTTGAGGCCAGGAGTCTGAGACCAGCCTGGGCAACATAGGGAGACCCCATAACTTTCCGATTATGTATATGAATCTCTGGATAACTCAACTGACCAAAGACAAATTAAGGGTGGCCGATGGTGCAGGAATTTGGTTAGAAGAGGAGGAGAACCTTGCCAAATCTCTTAACGAAGAGACATATGATAACCTATTTTTATAAAGAGTGATTCACCCTTGGGTGATACCTGTAAAGAAATTGTAGAAAGAGGAAGAAGCAAGCATAGCAAGGCATGGGAGGTGCTTACAAACATACCCTCTGGATTCAGAATTCTTAGCTCGTTTATTATACTTGTCTCATGTTTTCTCATCCGTAAAATGCATAATTATAGAATATTTCTCATAAATCTGAGCAGATTTAATAAAGCAGATCAAACCAAATGCTTAGAACAGATGCCAGTGGCTAGCAAAGTCTTCATCAATGTCAATTACTATCACCACCACCATCGTTATGATCATATTTGTCACCAATCAGCAGAATGACTTTAAGCCAGTAATTCCCTATGTCTGGGCCATAATTTCCTATCTATAAAATGATGGGCTGGACCAGATAAGGCCAAGATTTAAGGTTTTCTTCATGATTCTAATGACATCACCAACATGCATAACCAAGAGGACATCTGTTGGGCTAATAGGTCAGTGCCCATTAGTGCAACCTGTGACATCCAAGAGGGAGAGAAAGGAAAAAAAAATCCAGTGAAAATAAATGAGAATCAGTTAAGTAGGATAGTTTCAGTGCATGGGCCCTGAGTCTAGATGGGTTGGGTTGCAAACCCAGCTGCACCACTTGCTAGCTGGGGCAAGTTATTCATCACTCTGAAAAAAATGGGGATCATAATATCACCTGCTTTACACTAGGGTTGTTATGAAGAATAAATGCATTCCCAGCACCCAGAAAGGAGATGGAGAAGGGAAGAGAGGCAGACTTTGCCGCACTCTATACACAGCCACTGTTTGGCCACCTCGTACCTTGCTAATGGGACATTGGTAGGAAAATCACAGCCCTGGTTTATTTCTTATTATCTGGGCTGATCAAGCCTTTCAGGAGGAAGGGAGAGAGAAGAAATTATAAAATCTAACACCCAGCCATGAAAGGAATAGTGTCCTTAAGGCCTTTTGATCCTTAGATGTGTTCAAAGTTGCTTACAAATTATTTTCTGATTTTGAAGGTCAAGTTGGCAAGATGAGCATTAACAGAACCTGACTCCTCACAGGAAAATCCAGCCCCAAATTATCTCATCAAAATCAACTGATAAGGGAACTGGGCAATTGACATTATTTGGACCACGAGCTAGGCTGTCTGTCTCTCTCTTGCTCTTTCTTTTTTTTTTTTTTCTTTCGAGATGGAGTTTCTCTCTTGTTGCCCAGGCAAGAGTGCAATGGCGCGATCTTGGTTCAGTGCAGCCTCTGCCTCCTGGGTTCAAGCGATTCTCCTGCCTCAGCCTCCTGAGTAGCTGGGATTACAGGCATGTTCCACCATGCCTGGCTAAATTTTATATTTTTAGTAGAGATGGGGTTTCACCATGTTGGTCAGGCTGGTCTCGAACTCCTGACCTCAGGTGACCCACCCGCCTCGGCCTCCCAGTGCTGCGATTACAGAAGTGAGCCGCCGCACCCAGCCTCTCTTGCTCTCTTTCTCATCCTCCTTCCTTCCTCCCTCCTTCTGCCTCCTCCTCTCTCTGCACAGCATTTCCTTCTCCTATCTAATTTCCACTTCTTATATTTCAAAAGCTAATTTTTCAGGATTCATATGTACCATTTCCATATTAATAATAAACATTTTTGCCATGTACTAGTAACACTTAGTGCATATCCATATGACTATCTTTCTATGCAGAAAAAGATTTACCAAAATGAAATCAATCCATCAAGTATTTTTTTTATTTCCAGTTTTCAATCAATGACTCCATCTTTTCATTTCAGTACACATTCATTCCATCTAATCCTGTGACCATATTCAATTTCCCCAACTGATCACAAAATTAGCCATTTGTTCAAATATCCCGTCTATGGCTATGTACGACATCTAATTGTTATGACCCTTCCATCACTCTCAATCTAGCAGATAATTTTTTTTATGATACAGATTTGTGGAAGAGGTTTTTAAAGTATTTAGACAATGGCAGATTTCCCTTATTAGTCAAGAATTTTAAAGTTGAACTTAAAAAAAAGAGATTCAACATTAGCTATTTTATTTTGTAACTGGTATTCAAATATTACTAACAATCTAAGTGAAATGAGTTAGCCTTACACATCCTAAAATCCACTTTACACTATGAGTGAGTGAATAGTCACTCTACCTCTAAGAAAACCCTTTCTGGATCCCGTGACGCTGTTTTACCAGTGATTCAAATTTCCCTACAGGAGAAGATGAGACTCGCCTCAGCTCTTTCTCAACTACTGCCCTCCGTTCTCCAGGTAAAAGTCACAGCTGGGGGATGGTCTCTGGCATCATGGCACAAGAGAACCTCCTCTGAGCATGAAGACAGCAGTAGATCCACTGAGATGGGCACTCACCATATACTGCGATGGTCTTTGTGTCTTGTAGGATGGCATTCCCAGCTGAGACCTGCACTGTGATGGTATTCATTCCTTCTGAAGTAAATCTGAAGGATATGCTTCCCTCCAAGGTGATCAAAGGCTAAAATAAACAAGGGCCCAGAGTGAAGGGAAAGCTCTTTAGTTACAGGTGACACAGCCACTAACTGTGAGCCAACAATAGGCTGTCTAACCCAGCAGAGGCTCTTCCTGATGTACCACAATGGCACTGAGTCCCTCTATGCCTCCCTATCATCTCAAGCCCAAAGCAGAAAAGAGGCTATTGGAGCAATGACTCCAAGCAAGTCTGCCTATTCATTGTGAATTCCTGATATCATCCTGATTCAGGGCTGGGGAGATGGATAGGTCTTGCTTGCTGGTGGAATGTATGTCTCTCTTTATGCATGACCTACTCATATCAAGCAGATCCCTAATACAAGGAAATGATCAAAGCAAATGAGAACGGGGGCTCATATTAATCCAGATGGAAGCAGCAGTCACTGAAAATCTATAAGCTGCCATGTGTTCATCTCCAGGGTGTACGATTTCTGTAGAATTACAATGGAACATGAATCCGGTACACCAAAACCATACACTAGTTAAACAGCAGTGGCCTTGTGTGCTGGCCCGCTTTGAGAAGCCTCATCAGCAGTTTCCTGGAAGTAGCTGCTGTGGAAACAAGCACTAATTGGATAGTGGTTTGAGGATTCAAAACAGAAAAAAAAGAAAAAAAAATTTGGCGTGGTGCCTGCAATACAATCGACTGCTAGGGTCCTAGAGGAAAAAATATTAGCCTACTGACCTCCCTTGACACACTCCTCACAAACATTTATTTCCCATCTTTTCTTAATTAATTTAAAAATCAAAATTCATTTAATTCCCTGTATGGCAGAAAGAAGACTAACGCCCAGCATGAGAAGCCTTTTCAATGGGGTCTCTTGAGAATCTGGTTTTCTTTTAAAAGGAAAAATAAAAAAAATAAAAAACAATAGGGGGTACAAAAGGAAGTTGTTCAGTACATTCACCTTTTAGTACTAGTTTTCAGGGAAATGACATAGATTCCTGCTCTTCCGCTATGGATAGAGGGCCCACTATGGGCTGAGTTCACACACATAGTTTCAGGTGAAATTAAAAAGGGTCTCTTTTCAGTTTAGTTATGGTTGCAGTAGAGGTGAGAGGTTCTTTCCACTGTTTAGGTTTGTCCTGGGCCTGTGCAAAATTATATCTCCAGCTAAAGCCAAGTTTCAGCTCCAGAGCAGAAAAATGTTTTTATTAAAATAAGAGACATCGTATTTGAAGAGCAAAGTCACCAAGTGAAAGCAGCTCTGATGGAAGAAGATGGAGTGTTTCAGTCCAGAGCAGTTCATCCCAGTGTCCTTTGGGGCCTCAGCTCTATTGCCTAACTTACATTTGGAAGCACTTTAATTTCTGAGAATGGAATGAGTTCAAAACTGAAATAGACCATGCAGCCTGGTGTAGAGGAAAGAAACATTAGTGGAGGCATCAGAAGGCCTTAAATTTGGCCTCTTATGAAGCAGCTGGAAGAGATCAAAGCAAACCACTCCAGCTGCACCACCCTCACTTTTCTCATGTGCAAAATGAAAGACTTAGAGTAAACAAGGTGTTAGGTCTCTACTAGATTTAAAATTGCCACTGACTTTTGAGCATAGGGAATATTTGGAAAAACATATAAAAGTTAAAGCTGACCTAAATAAATAAGAGTTTTGATTTAGGGTAAGAAGGCCATTGGGGGTGGGTTGTAATGGAAATCTATTGCTTGCGCCTGTCCAGTTGCATCCAGTTGCTTCGTTTTCTTTTGGTAATCACTTCTCCCCTTCTGTAGTTCACGTGGTTCCGAGGAGACTGACTTCTTCACCTCCCTCTCTACCCCCAGCACTGTGATCAAGGCCTGGCCAGTAAGACTCAATTTCAGGACTGTTGTTAGAACTTTCAGGAAATAGAGTTTAATTTCTCTGCTAAGCTAGGGCTGCTAAGAGTCACTACAAAGACAAGTACAGCTGGAGAAAAACGTAAACATAGAGGAAGGCAGAGATGAAATGCAGAAGGTGGAGAGGGGCCAGAGAGAGAGAGAGAGAGAACATAATGATGAGATACTTGAGCACCAAGGGAGCTTGTTGTCCTTGAAGCTACAACTGCTTCTACACTCTAGGGTTCATAAGCCATTTCATTCCCTCCTTTGCTTCAGGCAGCGTGAATTGAGCTTCTGTCCCTAGATCGCATGTGGAAGGTGAACCCACCTCCGTGTTGTTTCCGTACCACCACACGTAAGTGAGGGTGCCCACTTGGCTGGGCCACAGCACTGCCGTCGCATTGACCTCTTTGTTCTTTGTGGTGACAAAGGGAAGAGACAGGTGCACGTGCTCCAAGGGACCTGAGGCACAAGAGAAAGAGAGGCCATGGATGGGGAAGAGCTTCCTCTGCTCTGTCCTCCCTGCTCTGAAGAGATCACACATTTACTCTTGAAGCCCCCAAAACCTGGCTGCCATATTCCCCAAAAGAAGTGTTCAGATGCTTTCCCCACTTTGGAGAAAGAATACATTGAGCACAATTGCATCTTGACATTTTGCACTTACCAATCTTTCTACCAGTTCTAACACCTGAGTTAGGTGTGTGTAAAAGTTAAAAAAAAATTACAGGTAACTTATGAAGTCCTTAAGAACAGGCATCATTTGGGATTTCACAAGGCAATGCAGTCTTTCCAAGAGGTTGTATCCCTGGTGGTGAACCAGAGTCATGAAGACCTCATAGAATCCATATTGATGAAGGGTGAATGGACAAATCTTCAAACCACTCTCTATGTCATTACCCTTTATTATTTATTGGGTTTTAAAGGTCTGTGTATGTGTGAATGTGTTCGTGCATGTGTCTGCAAAGCTGTCTAGTTAGGTAAGCATGGCACACACACTGTGTTTGGGGTTGAATTAAGTTAATTCAGGACAGAGGTGTGTGTGTAAGTAGATAGAGAGCTCTGTGGTTCTCAGAAGATGCTCACCTAAAATATAGAATGATTTTATCTACAGAGGCCTATAAAAACTGGAAACCTTAATTAGATGTACCAACCTCACAAAGATATGAATGCCCTCTTCATAAAGAACCACTAGGACCTTTCCTTCAACCCTCAATCTTCTCTTTGAGTCACTGTTTCCAGGCAAAATGCAGCTTCCTATGCATTTGCCATCCCCATCTTTGTCCCATGAGGTAGAGGAGAGAGCAATACCTTGGGTCTATTCACCTGGTTTATTACCTCCTCTTCTGCTTGCCCTGTAAATGTGTTTCCCAGAGTCCTGTGTTGAGACTTTTTCACTCTCTACAGACTTTTCTACTAGGCAACACCATCCACACCTTAACCTTCAAATATCAAATGCATGTGAAGGGCTCTAACACCCCTTTCTGGGCTCTAGACTCCTTCTGGGGGGGTCTAGACTTCTTTGCCTCCAGCAATCAAATGTTCTCAAGGACCCTGTTATTTCCCTCTCCTGTATTCTCTACAGTTTGGTGATTAACACTCATATTCATCCAGGAGCCCACTCCAGAAACAGAAAGTCAATTTCAATTTCTTTTTTGTTATTCACATCCATTTAGGAAACTGACGATTTGGTTTCATAAATCTCTCTAAGATATTTAGCTCACCCTCCCTAATCTGGCGCCCTGGTTCATACTCTAAGCACGTTCTCACTTATCTTCCAGATTTTCCTGCCTGTAACCTTTCACCACCCGAATCCATCCTCCAAATGGCTGCAACAGTAATTTTTCTAGAAAGCGAAGCTGATCATGTTACTCATACTTGTTCAAAATTAAGATTCCCGTGATTGGGAATGTGATGTGGTGTGGTGGCTCATGCCTGTAATCCCGACACTTTTGGAGGCCGAGTTGGGTGGATCATGAGGTCAAGAGATCGAAACCATCCTGGCCAACATGGTGAAACCCCATCTCTACTATAAATGCAAAAATTAGCTGGGCATGGTGGCATGCACCTGTAGTCCCAGCTACTCAGGAGGCTGAGGCAGGAGAATTGCTTGAATCCGGGAAGCAGAGGTTACGGTGAGCCAAGATCACACCACTGCACTCCAGCCTGGTGACAGAGCAAGATTCCATCTCGAAAAAAAAAAAAAAAAAAAAAAAAGATTCCCATGATCCAATTATGATAATAATGATAGCTAACACACATTGATTTAAAATTTGTGAGACAGAAGACAGAGGCTGAAAACTTCTTGAGGGTAAGAATTCTTCATATTTATCTTCATACACAAAGACTAGCAGAGTTTCTAAGACATTATAGATGCTCAAGTATTCACTGGGTAAAACAAATGATATAACTTCCCATGTCCGTCTTTGTGCATGCTACTCCCTCTTTAGAGAATGAAAAGTCTGGTGATCAGCATACAGAATCAAACTGATCTTCTGGCCTATAAAGCATATGTTGAGAAGCAGTTGATTATAAGCCAGAGCAGTTCAATGAAATAATAAAAGGGTAACATTTACTGAGCGATGACTACAACTAAATGTTCTGCTAACGACTCTGTTTTTCTTATTTTATCCTCACAAAACAATCTTATGAAGTAGGCACTAATATCCTCCCCGTTTAGAGATGAACAAAGTAACGTGACTTTCCCCAGGTCATACAGCTAGGAAAGCAGTTTGGTTTCAGAGCCCTTGTTCTGAGCAGATGGAAGTGTTTGAAAGAACCTTTCCAGTCAAACAAAATAGCTATTAAGAGTTGCTGCCTCCTCATCAGGTAAATATGTCCCAGGCATTGGAAAATGCACTTTCCACCTGGTTTCATTTATTGCACAAGTCTTGCCATTTCCCTATCAAATGGTTTGTTCCAGCAAGCCATGTCCTGGTCCACCCCAGGGCCTTTGCTTCTACACACCTTTCTTATGGCACCTGTCAGTCTTCAAATCTCAGTTCCAGCATCCCCTCCTCTGTGACATTCTTCCTGAGTCCCTCAATCTGCGTTAAATGAATACATTAGAATACAATGACTAGATAAACTATGCTAGAAATGCTAGTTCCATTCTAAAGAGGTTCATTTTGTCTCTCATATGTGAGCTTTTTTTTTTTTTTTTTGAGACAGAGTCTCACTCTGTCGCTCAGGCTGGAGTGCAGCGGCACGATCTCGGAGCATTGCAACCTCTGCCTCCCAGGTTCAAGCAATCCTCCTGCCTCAGTCTCCCGAGTAGCTAGCTGGGACTACAGACACACACCACCATGCCTGGCTAATTTTTGATTTTTAGTAGAGACAGGGTTTCACCATGTTGGCCAGGCTGGTCTCGAACTCCTGACCTTGTGATCCGCCCGCCTCGGCCTCCCAAAGTGTTGGGATTACAGGCGTGAGCCACCACGCCCGGCTGAGCATTTTTTAAAAGTCATAAACCAGCGTAAGAACAATGCCTATATGTCATTGTCTCAATGAAAAATTCGAATCTTGTTAGTAAAACATGGTAATTCATTCACTCAGTTTTTTTATTTTTATTTATTTTTTTATTTTTTGAGACAGAGTCTCCCTCTGCTGCCCAGGCTGGAGTGCAGTGGCATGATCTCAGCTCACTGCAACCTCCACCTCTCGGGTTCAAGCAGTTCTCCTGCCCCAGCATCCCAAGTAGTTGGGATTACAGGGGCGTGCCACCAAATCTGGCTAATTTTCGACATCCGGCTAATTTTTGTATTTTTAGTAGGTACGGACTTTCACCATGTTGGCCAGGCTGGTCTCGAACTCCTGACCTCAAGTGATCCACCCACCTCGGCCCCCCCAAAGTGCTGGGACTACAGGCGTGAGTCACTGCGCCCAACCCTCACTCAATAGTTTTTGAGTCCTGTGATCTGTTGGGTATTATTCTAGGTGCTGGGGATACCTGGCATTTGGTGGAGCTTAGGTATTTCTGAGGAAGGAGGGTGCTGAATGCATAAAGCAGAAGTCGGTGACAGAGTGCTATTTTTGAAAGTGTGATGATGGAAGACCTCTCAGAAGAAATGGCATTTGAGCAGCAACCTGAATAAAGTGAAAGACAGCACCAAGTATCAATTTTGAAAGCTCCAGGGTGAGGGTAGAGTAAGTGAAAAGACCACGAGGAAGAGGGATGCCTGCCATGTTTGAGAAATTGTCTTATTATTTTTTCATTTATTTTCACATAATCACGTTTTGGTCAATGACGATTTTTTTTTTTTTTTTTTTTTTTTTTTTTTTTGAGACGGAGTTTCGCTCTGTCACCCAGACTGGAGTGCAGTGGCACGATCTTGGCTTGTTGCAACCTCTGCCTCCTGGGTTCAAGTGATACCCCTGCTTCATCCTCATGAGTAGCTGGGATTACAGGCGCCTGCTATCATGCCCAGCTAATTTCTGTATTTTTAGTAGAGACAGGGTTTCACCATGTTGGCCAGGCTGGTCTCGAATTTCCAATCTCAGGTGATCTGCCTGACTCAGCCTCCCAAAGTGCTGGGATTACAGGCATGAGCCACCATGCCGGGCCAATGATGAATTTTCTAAGAGAAATTCAAGACACATAGTACGTTGGCCTTGTAGGCCCTGAAATACATATGTGTTTGTATAAGTTCACGCATACATGCATATACATTATATATGCATACACATATTAAATTTATCTTTCAGATTTCCACAGCCTCTTTTATTCATTTACTTTTCACGGGTTTAAAATACCTGGTTCCTGCTATCCAAAAGCCTATTCTTTGACCATCTCTGTTAATCACAGAGGGTGCAGTATGCCCTATGGAGCCACAGAGGTGAAACTCCAGACCCTGGAGGCCCCCAGCTGGCTGGCTGCGTTAAGTAGGATGCTGAACTGGCAGATGCGGCTCCATCAGACAGGTGCCTGCAATGCACAAAAGGGACAGTAGGTGGCGCTGCATCATTCCATATGAATCTTCCTGGAAAGGTGGTTGAGAGAAATGGGGAATTGTGTGAACTGGGTTTCCCCTCTCTTTTCTTGTTTATAGCCCTCCTGTGCTGCAGGAAACAACTGACGCCCGTGAGGCTGCACATTGTGTGATTCTGTGTGTGTGTGTGTGTGTGTGTGTGTGTGTGTGTGTGTGTGTGTGTACACTGGCTGCTCTGGCCTGCCTGCAGCATTTATGATGTGGAGACCTTTGGCCACCTAAATATTGTGCACATATCATATTGCTATTTGTCTGCAATGTTTAAAAAAGCTACTAGAAGAAATAAGAATGATTCAAACTATTAAGCTGAGATCCTAAAACAGAGTTTCTCAAATTTCACTGTACGTTAAAATCATACTAATCTCTTCAAAGCAGATTATGATGCCATACTTCCAGGAATCCTAATTCAGTGGGTCTGGGATAAGACCCAGAACACCACATTTTTATCATTTAATTTGGGGGCAGGTGGCTCATTAAGCCACACTTTACAAAATTCTAGTCTGACGTTTGCTGGTCAATAAAATGATGGTGTGAATGGTCGAAAAACTACGTGGGTTTTCAAGCTACACAGATCATTTTACTCTAAGATGGGGCCAGAAAGTCATCTGCACATGGCTCCTATATAAGGGAACAGATAAGGGAAGCAGTTTAGGAAGGACTACAAGATCCACCTTATCTTTTTTTTGTCCCCAATTTCTGTTCTGCAAGTTTGCAGTCTTCAGTGATTTTTTTTTTTCTGCAAGACTGGCTGCGACAAGGCAGCTTTCTGAGCAGAAATCTGCATGCTCTCTAAAACCTCTGCCCCATCCGACTGAAGGCAACACTGGCTGCAGCACGTGTCTCATTAGTTTGCAAACTAGCAGAGCACAGTGAATACTATCCCCAAGGAATTACCAACTGTCAGGCTACAGGAGATTACCAGGCGCCCAGCAAGACCGGCCCACTCCCAGAAACACTATGCAGGAACATCGGCTCCATTTGTTTCAGATGACCTTTGCAAACCCATCTTTTTTTTTCAAACCCTCTGGTTTGGAATCAAATCACTTTTCTGCACTGGAGAGTGGTCGGAATGTGTATGTGAGACAGGCAATGGGCTTTCAAGATTGCCCCTGAGGGTAGGAACTGGGGAGGGGCAGAGGACAGGCTTGGTGAGCTAAGAGTTGCTGCTAATTCTCCTCTTCCTCATGATAGAAAAATCAAGTTTTACTAGGTGCCAGGGTACCATATATTTTGCTTGATGGGACTTTTGGGAACGAGATGTGCATCTACTTGACAGAGGAGAAAATCAAGGCTCAGAGAGATGGAGTGACTTCCCCAGGAGTTTGAACCAAAATCTGGACCTAGTCAGAATGCCCGACTCAGTCCAGTGCTTTTCTTTCCCCTATAAAGCCACCTCTCACTGCCATATCATGGCACTTTGGCATCCACAGTCACTCATGACACCCTCCATCTTTAAGATGCCTGAGAGTGTGACTCGGTTATGTTCTTGTTCTGACTTGCTTTGAGCATAAAGTGATGCCAGAGTCACAGTGCTTCTCCAATCCTTGATTTCTCCATCTGAAAGAAAAGGCCAGAAGTCTGTTATGGTATAGATGTGAAGATGAGCAAAAAGAGTTTGTGGGCATAGCAAAGCACCCTGGATCTTTAGGAGGGAGGCACTAACCAAACATGTCAGAATCTGCTGAAACAGTTATATGAGTTTATATGTATGTGAGTTAGCAAACAGCTTCAAACATGAACTTGCTTTTAACACAGTTAGTACCAAAAAGCCAGGCTTAGAAAGAAGTTCCATTATATGAGGCATGCTTATCCAACCACTTAACCCAAGATGAGTCTACAAAATTAAAATCAGAACACGAAACATTCCATTACAAATTATCTTCCTCTAAGGTTAAGGTCAAATATTTGGTCCAATCAACTAGGCTAATGAAATGAAAGAATTGCAAATGAATGAAGAAACTGGTTTCTTTTAGAAGGGTTTCCGCAGCCCTTAATCTTAAGCAGAGACAATCTCTGTGTGTGTTGTTTTCCTCTCCAGGATTTCGTTAACTAGGGAGGAGTTTTGCAGGGGAGCAGTAGACACCTCAAGGGGTATGATCACACACACAGGAATGAGAAAAAAACCTACAGAGTGACAAGGAGGTGAAGCTATGGAAGATTTAATGGGAGACCCTGAAAAATTTAGATCAGAAGCTGATACTGGCTTTTAAATCAGTATTTACATGTGATTGGACTACGGTAGATGTATAACAAATTTGTGGTATATGGAACACAATTATAATTTGTAAGGAAGCTAGCTCTCTAGCAAAATCACCCCTTATAGAATAAGCTATGAGATAATAATATGGTCTAGGTAGGAGCCATTCTTGGCAAATGTGCTGTCATTTTTATTGCAAGTTATTTTTGCTACTAATCATTAATGTTTGTGACGTATTGTTAAAGATTTTAGTATGATCATTTCTATGATACCATTGCTATCATTTCCCTACATACTAACATATAGGGAGGTGTTATGTCTTAGTAAGTGGAAAGTCCTGAAAGTCTATATAGGACGAGTTAGGGATGGCAGTTAGATGGACAGGAGCCCCCGTGATGAGTACTGAACTATGTAGTTGTGTAACAAGCACACTGCTTCTAACCAAAATGTTTATGTTTCTTCAAGATGATCTGTAAAGAGTAGGGAGTAGATAGTAAAAGCTAATGGAGACAGCTCCTCCAATCCCAAGCCGCTCTTGGCACTGACACTGACCTTAGTTATCAAGAGCTAGGATCCTTGCGGCAGGTGGACCTGAGTCTGAAGCATGGTTCTGCTAGGTAGTAGGTGGGCCACTTCAAACAAGTAACTTAAGCTCTCTGAACCTCAACACTTTTTGTAAATAGGGTTACTAATAGTGCCTACTTCAAGGGACTGTTTTGAGAAGTGAGATAACATATATTAAGAGCCTGTTTAGCACAAAGTCTGGAACACACTGTAAACTATAGCCAAAAATAGGCAGATTGAGTTGGCATACTGAGAATCATGTGTAACTTTGTCAGACCCAAATAAAGGAGTGCATGTTTCTTTGAAGCACCTCTGCCATGAGAGTACAGGAGACAGAGATCAGAATTACTGACATGTTAGGAAGACTCAACAACCAAAACACCTTTTTGTCATCCCCTAATAGTCTTGCCCTCTCACTGGACCACAGCAGCTAAAAAAGAAAATGTTCTAATTGATACTTTCTGTATTCAATTTTGTTCCATGGGCAAGGTGCAGAGGAGAGGCATGGAGTAATAATGGCTGGCCTTGAGGCTCTTGGACTAAAACTTGATATTTGAACAAGACCATTCATATAAAGGAGCTGCTTTCATTTAAAGGAAACAATTTCTTTAGTAACCAACACAAGTCCTATGACTGGGAAACCCCTTACACCTAACATGTTAATGACACATGTTTTAAGCACACATAACTTAGAAGTTATTATTGTCTCATCATACTTACTCACATCTTTAGAATCCCCAATGAGGGAAAAGCTTTAGCATTTCTTGGAACTGTTTCCTACCACAGTTTCCTTAACACTGTTTTTATACTCTTTCTCTCTACACCACCTTCTCTCTAACACCAAGTCATCCACAGATAGAAGCCCAGGAAAAAGGAGCAAAACCCTAAAAGGATTATTAATAGCAACATATTATGAGAAGACAGAAATAATCAGATGGGGAGAAATTTCTTTACTTGGGCTAATTCTCAATGCATTAGATTGAGTGGTGCATGTGGATTGTTTTCAACAATTTCTGACCCCAGCAAAACCAAATTTCTTTGTTTCAACCAAATAGCTCTGCAAGTTACTTAGGCTCAGCCTCCAGATTCAAGTGTCATATCTTCAAGGCACCCGGGGTAAGCAGAGGAAATGCAATGAGAATTTGAAGCAATCCAGAGAGTCCAGGATTAATCAAATTCTACTCTTTGATTTTCTTCTCACTCTTTCCTTATTTTGGTCTCTTAATCATTTCTTCCCCATTCCCCTTCTGCTAAAAGATAACTAGTGTACTTCTTCTAGATATAAAATTGTGAATTCAATTTGAAAAGGACACAATATTTAAGATAGGTCATAAACCAACAACAGTAATAACATACAAGTTACATGTAAGTACAGGACGGCGCTGTCAGAACCCAGACTGTTGTCCACCTGCACGGTCACACGGAAAATGCCCACGTTCTGATAGACGTGTTTGATCCCATCTTCCATGGAGCTGAGATTGACGTAAGACACCGCGATACCATCGCCAAAGTCCACTTGGATGAGTGTCCGCTGAACATCACCCTGAAAAACAACCCAACATCAGAGGAAATGAGTTAGTATTCGGCTGCTCCTGCCTAGGGGACTGGGGACTACGGCTTGTCCTAGTCCCTGGCTCAGGCATGATGGCAGCCCTGGCTCACTCCTACAGCTAGGAGCATCTGCCTGCCTTTGACAGAATCCCTGTGACATTCCCTGGCAGGCAAGAGTTTGCTACGATGGATACACTCCAAATCTGAAGGACACCAACTACTGTAAGTTTCAGGGGTTTGAAAATTAATAGTGCTTGATTATCAGCTGCAATGTGATATTCAATTCCTCCAAAGGCTTTGGTAATAGTCTTAGCATCCACAAGGATAAAAGGTGTACACACACAACTTTAAAAATTTAGCTTACCTGGGTCAGGCACAGTGGCTCATGCCTGTAATCCCAGCACTTTGGGAGGCTGAGGCAGGCAGATCACAAGGTCAAGAGATCAAGACCATCCTGGCCAACATGGTGAAACCCCGTCTCTACTAAAAATACAAAAATTAGCTGGGCGTGGTGGCGCACGCCTATAGTCCCAGCTACTCGGGGGGGCTGAGGCGGGAGAATTGCTTGAATCTGGCAGGCAGAGGTTGCAGTGTGCCAAGATCATGCCACTGCACTCCAGCCTGATGATGGAGTGAGACTCCGTCTCAGAAACAAAGAAACAAACAAACAAAAACCCAAAAATTTTAGCCTACCTGACTGACATGGTAATGGACCACTCCACTTCCTGTGTCTTCAAGACCACCCCTCAACCTGAATACCCCTCGTTATTTCTTGTTCCCTAATTGTATCATAGGAAGGACGGAAGACACTTTGCCTGATATCTGATAGGACACTGTACGCAGCCCTATTATTATCTGAGATAATAATGGTTAATTCTTTTATGCTTTAGCATTTCAAGCTATCAAAATGATCTCATGTTATTCTTCACAGATTCTTAGTCTAGTCTGGAGAGAGGAGTAGGCAATCTTCTCCCACTTTACAGAGGAAGAAGATGAAGTCAAAAAAGATGTCATCACTTGTTCAAGGTTAACACAGCTAGTAAGTGGCGGTCCTGGTATTCTAACTCACCTTTCTGCACTTCCAGGTCATTCATTATAGAGAGAATATAGCACTGTAGGTAATCAAGGCTCCCCTGGCATGAATTCTCATGTGCCATTAACAAGCTGGAAGACTTCATGCAAGTCATTCAGTCTCCTGCAGTCTCAGTGACAAATCTATGAACTGGGTATAATAATACCTTCCTGTCTTAAAGAGTTGTAAAAACTATGCAGTAAATTAATTACAGATTAATTAGTCATCTGTAAAACGCTACATAAAAATGACTATAAATCAATGTAGCTATAAAAGACCTACAATTGTCCCTTTAAAGCTTAATTGAAATTGTAGGATTCCAAATTTCCCATGGGTAGGCAGAAGAAGATACATTCTGCATTATAAAATCCCAGACCTGTAAAAAAAAAAAAGAAATGGCCTTTGGAACAACAGTTTAGATTCTTAAGGAAAAAAAGTTGCTCAGACCCCATTGACAAAAACCAGCTTCCTTCACACACAGTCCATCCTTTAACAAATTTTGTTGTTGTTGTTAGCCTTTCCCACTTTCAGGAAAGAAAAAAACAAAAACCTTTGAACTAGAAATGTATTTTCGATTAAGTAAGGTTCATATGGTATCATATTTTTTGAAAAGGCCAAGTTTAAAATGTTGACATTTAAAAGATTAATTCACAGGGAAAAAGAAAAGCAGTTCAAATCCTATGAATCTGTGTGACCTACTCCTCTGCTCTATGCCCAGCCAAGCATTGTGTGTGGGGCTCACAGCAGCAGACTCAATAAGTACATAGGCACAAATTCTCCCCTAGGGTAAACAGAGAAATTCCATTCAAAACTACAAAATAAATATCCAAAGCCCAGACATTGTGCACTTACTTGAATTCCCTTCACTAATAAATATAAATGTCAACTATTCTTGCTGACGTGTCCTTCATTTAAACAACCAAAGTGGACTGATCAACTTCTCATTCTGTTTCCAGTTAGTTTCCACCCCTAGTTTTCAACAGAGTTGCTGGGAAGCCAGCCCTAGGTGTGGGCAAGGGGAAAGAGCCCACTTTTGAAGCAAGTATCTGAGGGAAATAGCAAGGGTATCTGGGGTTATCCATGGAATAAAACAAGGAATGCAGTTTCCACTAGAGAGGGGGGAGGACATGACGGAAGAGGGAGACAGACAAGTTTAAAGTACTTTGTGGTGACAGAGTGAGCATCAGGCAGGGGCCATCATTTGCTAAAGGACAGAGGGGAGATTCACACCTTCAGTCAACTCTACTTCAGCCTCCATTGAGAGACAGCAGACACTCACACAGCTGGGAAGAATACAACTTTGGCTGCCATTGCTTGAGTCTACCTTGCCTTGCCCTTTCTGTCTGGTCTTCATCACTTCCATTTTGTTGTCCTGGATCAAGACCAGTTACATAAAAACCCTCCAATTTCTATCTCTCTTGATGTCTACTGTCTGTCTTGCTGGGTTTTGTTTCATGATAGGATTCTTCATTGTCCATTCATGGAATGCTCTCTGTGTATATAATGGGTGAAAGGATGGAGCTACTCAATGTTTGGACTAGGGCATTAGTAAGGTTTCCATTTCAGAGTCAGGTTATTAGGGTGTTAGGTCAGGTATTTTATATATAATTATATAACAGATCATACTTTACATGATAGAATCAGGTATTAGGTTTAACATGCACCTGACAGCCCCTGAAGACAAAGACATGGAATACTCCAATCAAATGTGAAGTCCCCAGGACCTCCTGATATTGGGATAGGCCTCTTGGCTTGGACTCTGCACTAGGAGATAAGAATGTCAAGGGGCCATGTATGACAGCAGAAGGCAGCTGATTATATTCCTGCTGTCGCTTTCCACTAAAGGTGAACAAACTGGATTCCATGCCTTTTCCTTCAGGAGCTCTCAGGTAAGTGGTAAGGCTACGGCCACTGTAACAGCTTCACGCTGGGGCTCATCTGTCATCAGATTCCGGTGTTCCTGGGCTCAAATGACCACTGGAAGCAAGGATGTCAGCCACTTTCAGAGAATAAGAAACCGAGCAAAGGGAAGGCAGCCCAAGTCCTAATAACTATTGAGTAGACATACTCACCCTACCGGCGCTCTGGTCATTCACTCATTCACCCAACAGTCAGATATTTATTGACTGTCTATCTCATGTCAGTCACCAAATGGGAAAATGTTATTAAGCAAGCAATAGCCAAACAAACAAAATAAATATGGCCTGGGCTTTCATGAGCTTACAGACCACTAGTGAAACACATGCACTTTAATTAACTAATCATGCAAAAAAAATTATTGCAGGGTGACATGAAGGAAAGGTACATGGAGTTGTAAGCTTTTGTAATATGCAGGACTGGAGAGCCGATCTGATTGGGAACTTCAAAGAAGGCTTCCAAAAGGAAGTGATATCTGAGCTCAGAAGACCTGAAAGAAGAAGGTAAATTAACCAAATGGAGGAGATGAATGAGTGAGGCACAAGTGAGAGAGTGCAGGCCAGGGGAACAGAGGGAACAGATGTGCAAAGGCCCTGTGGTAGAGGGAGATAGTACGGTTGAAGAAATTAAAAAAGAAGGAGGAAAAAGAGAGAGAGAACAAGAACATGTTACCAAATGAGGTTAAAGCAGAGAAAAATACCTTCTGGGACTTGTGGGTCAAATTCCTGATTTTTATCTTTCTCCTAAGAGCAATGAGAAGCCATTAAAGTGTTTTACTTTTTAAATGTTTTTAAAATTTTAATTGATAATAATCACACATATTTATGGGGGTATATGTGATATTTCAATACATATATATAATATGTAGTGATAAAATCAGGGTAACTGTGATATCTATAACCTTGAATCTTTTTTATTTCTTTGTGTTGGAGACATTCAAATTCCTTTCCTCTAGCTATTTTGAAATATATAATAAATTATTGTTAACGAAAGTTAACACTGTACTGTGCTATAGAATATTCGAATTTATTCCTCCTGTCTAACTGTGATTTTGGACACATTAACCAATCTCTCCCTGTCCAGCCTCTTGTAGCTACCATTCTACTCTCCTATTCTGTAAGATCAACTTAATGATTCAAGTGTTCTAAGTAGGGGTTTAAGGGAAGATGGCATGATGATATTTTTAATTCAAAATGATCACTCTGGCTATGATATGGAGATGAACTGGAAGTGTGTTGGAAAGCCAATTTGGAGGTATTCTAGGATAGATGATAGTAGATTAAACAAACAAACAAACAAACAAAAAATCTCCAGCAGAAAATTATATGCACCTTTCTGTCAAAATTAACTCTCATAGTTTATTGGTTTTGAAATCAGTGATTCTGGGCCTTTGATATCAACATCTTTTTTAGGAGTTTTATTTCTTAATCTGGATGTCCAACTACTACCCAAGACCCAGCACTGTTTTGAGGCCTCTGAGAGGATGCCCAGTCCTGCTGCAGTCTGAGGTCTGCAGCCGATGCTAGGCTGTAGCAAAGGCTGAGGCCCTCTCATTCTGATTGTTGAATATTAGGTCTTCTTGTGGTCGGATACATCTGAAGATGAACACTATAGCACAAGCAGATGCTATTCTTATCTGATTTTAATATGATGAAAAAGCTTTACCAGGAAGCTTTAGGACTGTAAGTACTAAGGGTGTATTAATAAGGCTGGGAATGGAAAGACTAAATTCATTGTGGACTGAAGCATAATCACAAACAAAAGTGTCATGATACACGCAGCCAAGATTAGCAAACTTCGCTAGGAAAATGAGTTGCTGGGTGGTACTAGGGTAGACTGTGTCAACTCCGGCGGGGCTAGGAAGTGTCTTGTTAATGTATCTTCAGTGCCTTAATGCAACACCTGCGAATGATCCTTTTTAGTTCCATATAATTTGAAAGTTGCACATTTCTATTGTGTGTTTGTCAAAATGCTTTCTTACATATTATCTCATGTGGATGTTAGGACATCTAGGAGATAGAAAGGACAGATGTTATTTATGTTTGATATAACAGAAAAACTGGAGCACAGAGGGGTTAAGATGCATAAAGTCACGCAGCTAGTTAGACACCTGCAAAAGGGTTTAAGATGATCTGTGCTTTGACTTGACCTATTCAGTTCAGTTCTCTTTGAGTTTCTTTAATTGAAATTACTCGCAATATTTCTTTCAGACCAAGAGGAAGGTGGTAACAAAGATAAAGCATTATTTTCTTTTCTTGCTTGACTGTATTCCTGGCTTTGACTCTCTTTTCCTCTCTAACGATGATAGGTTGGCATTTACTCAATACTCTGCTTCTGTCTACCCACTAGTAAGACAGTATCATGTTTAAGCCGTAAAGAAGATAGAGAATATGAGAAACAATTGGTATTCATAATCAGTAGTCAGGAAAGTCTTGTGTATAATTAATTGAAAAATACTTCAATCTAATAACTCAAAAGAAATCATTTCTGAAACTAAATCCAGGCTGGCAAACATCTAGACTATTATAAAATTCTTCAGATCTAATGCTCTTTAGTCACATGTCCTAATACAGACACAGAATTGAGAAGACTAGTTCAAAAGAAGTGCCTGAGAAAGGCACAAAACCCACATGAAATCCACGTGATGATTCTATTCTCCAAGGGCATTGCTGACGTCTAGAATAGAAAAACAAATTTATCAAATGGCCACCAGGAAGCCAATATTAACCTGAGCAATGAAAGGTGTGTGAACCTATCAGTTCCTGTAACACAGATTCAGAGAACACTGGGACAATAAATGCTATGGAAACTCCTCACGGACAGCCTCAGTCCAGAAGTGAGACTCCAAGATGTCCCTTAAGGCATCAGAGACCCATTGCAGATAGACACCAGGCTCGTATATCAGAACCTGGTCCATGCAAGCATGACAGTGGCCCTCACTCAAGCTTCATCAACATTTTTCTTGGAAGAAAGCAGAAACCACATTGCAGAAAAATCACTAGTATAACCCATTTTTAATAAAAAAATAAGCAACAAATAACACAGTAAATATACCATAAATCTGTATGTGTTTGTGCGAGTACAGAGAAAGGTGAAGCAAAAGGTAACCCAGACTGTTAATATTGATTACCCTGGGAGTGGAGTGAAGTGAGGGGCAGGAAGGGATCAGCTGGATTCAAAGAAAGGAGGAGTGAATGAGGGGAAATAAATATTTCTCCAAATTTAAAAGGGGGTAGAGTACTGAATAACACAAGAAACATTACAAAATACAACACTATACCTCTACTATTACTATAAATATTTAAATATGGGTTAAGTACATTGGAAATAATCAATGTAACAAAGACTTTGTTTTGACTGATGATGGAATACAACCAACTGAATTTGTTGTTATTTTTGTGTTATTTTGACCACAAAGTAAGATTTTTCACACATCATTAAGCGGCACTGAGTGACAGAAAGGAAATCAGATATTTCAGCCATTTCTTTGTATGACTAAGGATATTTAGGCAGAGTAGGGATTATGAAATAAAAGTAGCTCACCATTATCCTGCATACCCTACTCTAGGGAGGTAGACTCAGGTTAGCAAGGTCTCGACAAGGAGTGGAAAAGGAAATAACAGTTCAACGTACCCTGGCGTGCAGAGAAGAGATTTCATCAGCCAGTGTAGTAAATGCATGGCATGCGACTTTGTATACAAAGTGAGAGTGCAAGTAAGATTGATCTAGTTGGGTGCAGTGGCTCATGACTATAGTCTCAGCACTTCACGAGGCTGAAGTGAGAGGACCACTTGAGCCCGGGAAGTCAAGGCTGTAGTGAGCCATGATTGCACCACTGCACTCCAGCCTGGATAACAGAGTGAACCACTCTCTCACTAAAGAAAAAAAAAATAGAAAAGGAAAACAATTGCTCTACAAGATCCCCTGGGTGGTCACTAAGGGAGAAGACAGAGAACATTTTTTGAAAGTTTACTGTGTCAGAAATAGCAACTACTTTCTATATATTATCTTATTTAAACTTTGTATCAGTCTGTTTTCACACTGCTATAAAGAACTGCCTGAGACTGGGTAATTTATAAAGAAAAGAGATTTAATTGACTCACAGCTCCACATGGCTAGGGAAGGCCTCAGGAAACTTACAATCATAGTGGAAGGGAAAGCAGGCACGTCTTGTAGGAGGAACTGTCAAATACTTATAAGACCATCAGATCTCTGAGAACTCACTCACTATTATGAAAACAGCATGGGGGAAACCACCCCTATGATCCAATCACCTCCCACCAGGTCCTTCCCTCGACACTGGGGATTATAGGGATTACATTTTAAGATGAGATTTGGGTGGGGACACAGAGCCAAACCATATCAATCTTCAACCCTAAAAGAACTCAGACCTGTTCAAATTTGCCTAGAGTCACAAGACTAGTTTGAATCAGGCTGTTCTTAACTCCGAGTCCAGCACTCTTACAACTCGTTCACAGAAAACACTCAAACTACTCTGTGGTGCTCATTCCCAGATGGGTGCTAAAGAATGAATTCACTGATGTGTGAAACCAAAGAACTTTGTAAGCTTCGCTAACTACAACCCTTTAGAGGAATGCCAAAGTGATGTAAGATGATCCCAGTGTAATATGCCAGGCTCTGTAAAATACCCCAGAAGCTACAAAATGGGTTTGTGAGGATTCCTGGTAGTGTGAGTGTTTGACAAAGTCTGAGATGACTAATCAGGAAACAACTGTTGAAACTGTGTTGGACCTTCTTGTGTGACATTTTATAATAGTAAACTGAGCTTTTCTAGAACAGTTAAAAACCAGTCTAGGATAAAAGGCAGCTGCACATGCCCTATCTTCTGTTCCCAAGCAAGTTCTTTGTCCTCTCTGGCTTCTCTTCCAAGAGGTGCTGGCA
Source organism: Homo sapiens (assembly GCF_000001405.40). NCBI lineage: Eukaryota > Metazoa > Chordata > Mammalia > Primates > Hominidae > Homo > Homo sapiens. The sequence continues at coordinate 106,637,288 of NC_000010.11, forward strand.
CTGCTGAAAGCCAAAATTTCCTCACCAAAGCAGCTAGGACAGAGTGTTCCCAGGATGTCTGGTTTGAATCATGCTGTATAGGTGTTTCTTCACTTTCAAAACTGAGCTCTGGAAGATGACTCTAAAATGTCCAAATCCATGCATAATTACGGAGTATTGTCAGTCTTCTCCCCTTGCCTATTCAAAGATGGTTTTCTAAAGCACACGTCTTTCTCCAAATGTGCAGACCTCCTGAGCTTCTGTGCAAGCAAAACCTACAGTGAACTTAGATGCTCTGACCTGGGGGATGAAGAGTCGCCAGTGAAGAGGATAGTGCAGAAGGTTTTACAATTTTTCTAGAGAACTCAGATCTGTCAAGACCATGAATTTCAGAGACAGCACACTTTGAACACATCAAATCATCTGCCTAGATTTATGACATTTCACTTTCTCTCAGATGAAATGAAGATGGCTGTTTTTTCAGGCCCTTCTAAGAGGACTCAGATCCTTGGGACTTGCCTAACTAAATACCCAAATACTTCTGGATCTAATGCCCAGATCAAGGCATTCCAATAGGAACATCACAAAGTGGTTTGGTCCTTCCTTTAGAAATGGATGATAGTACCATGTATTTGACTGAATCCCAAATTTCCCTTTTATGTCTTCTGTACTTGGTGTCTGGTTTAAAATGCAACAGAATACATAAGACAGGAGGAATACTTAGCTTGTGTAAGCAGATAATGACTATGAGCTGGGGCCTCTGTACTCCCTCTAGATATTATGGTACAGAGAGGTTCAGAACCTTGACCCATTGCACTTTGGAAGCACTTTTTAGATAATAAAGGACATTGCTATACTGTTACCACTGCATGATGTGGCTGTAGGAATTACATCAGCAGGCTCTGGCTAGAAAACTAGGGGGCTGCCAAATGACATAAATCTTAAAATGTTTTTGAGTGACTTTTGGAATTCACTCATAAAGTAAAGACATTCAGCTATGTAATTAGAACAAAACTATATATACTTTAAAAATGGTAGGAAGTTTCCTTTAGGAATAAATCTCTATAGAACCAGGTTTCCTAGTAGTAAAATATGTAACAGAAATATGTTAGCTTTATTAGAATAAAGAAAAAAAAAGGCACGGTACATTCATTGGGAAAATACAGAAATACATAAAATAATGACAAAGAAAATTAAAATCACCCATAATTATATCACCCACAGATTACCTTGTTGGTGAATATCATTTTAATCAATGAGAATGCACATGGACACAGATACCACCCCTATAACACTGGAATCACTATACTATTTTTAGCATTATGCAGTCAATATGTTTAAATAGCTTAAACTTTTATACCTAGTATCACTTGGTGGTCTTCACCAAGTCATAAGACCTCTTCTATGAAATGGATATATGATTTCTTGCCCTGGAAGTCACTTCATCCCCCTTCTAAATTATTAGGTTGTTGTGTAATTTATTTTAAAGAGGTGCTGTATGTGAAAGAGGTGCCCTACAAAAGTCAGGTGGCAACCTGGGAATTAGAAGACCTAGTTTTGTGTCCTTCAAAAAACATTGTTTATTTGGACCTCAATTTCTCTACCTGTAAATTAAAGATGGTAGGACCTGATGATCCTAATTGTCACTTCCAAGTCAGATAATCTGTGATTTTTACAATTCTATTATTCTTGTTATTGGCATTATTGTGCATCCACATATACATATATATATTCTAACGTCAATTTGAGCTGCTGAGATAAGCTCAGATCTCAGGTAAAGATGCAGAACTGATTCAAGTGCTGCTGTCATAGGTAGAGACTTACCACTGCACATTAATGGTAGACCAGCTTGAGGACTGAGCGGCTGAGCAGAGGGTCATGGAATAATAAATGGCAAAGTGCAAAGCCAGAAGCCTGAGGAAGTTACTCACTCAGGCGAGGATTGCATGGTGTGGTGAAACCCTGATTCAGGGGTAGTGACCACCCATGTGGATGAAGTGGGACATTAGTATTGTTAGGGCCTCAAGTAGGCAGACTAGGAGATTGAAAATCCAAACTGAAGACTATTTCATGAATCTAGCCTCTGGGATGTTTGCCGAACTGGAACTGTCAGTAATGAGCCAGGTATCTAAGTCAGACTAAAGTTCTTAGCAAACATCTTTTCTTTGAGACCCTAAAGAACAGCAATATTCCAATATATGTGGATTAGTTTTGAGGGGAGTGAGAAGTGGAGACTTAGAAAGAGTTGCTAACCAATCCAACTTGAACTTCAGACATTAGGCTTCCGGCTAAAGACAACCTATATTGCCTGCCTCATTTCCTTCAACAACAAAAAGCAAGAAGAAATGAAGTGGCTCAATTACCTTACTAGAGTCAAAGAGAATAATGCTGAATGGAGTAAGGAATAACATAGGAGAAAGCCTCAAATCTCTAAGGCTCATCGAAATCAGCTTCCACTCCTTTGTATGGAGGGAGAAAACAGTTGAGGCATCTACGTCAGAACTAAGCTGGCTTAGAAACTGATACCTGCCTCACGAGGTCAGGAGATCGAGACCATCCTGGCCAACATGGTGAAACTCCGTCTCTACTAAATATACAAAAATTACCTGGGTGTGGTGGCACGTGCCTGTTACCCCAGCTACTCGGGAGGCTGAGGGAGGAGAATTGCTTGAACCCAGGAGGTGGAGGTCGCAGTGAGCCAAGATCACGCCAATGCACTCCAGCCTGGCAACAGGGTGTGTCTCAAAAAAAAAACAAGAAAGAAAAAGAAACTGATGCCTGCCTCAACATAACACTGTTTATTAACCCTTTGTGCCACCACTAAAGGCTCCAAATAGCCTTTTCTCCAGATGAAAAAGCAGGTCAAATTGTGTCATGAATTCAGACAAGTGAGTATCTTGAAGAAATTTTTATCAACAGCCATCTTCTCTACCATCTGATGGCTGACAGCATCCTGCAATACTTATGAAGTGTTATTACACTGTGGGTACTTTAGTGCTCCCATAAGTCTTTCAATGTATGTGAAATTACGGATCATTGAAACCTGTCTAATGAGGACACAGTCCTCATGTTTTGGAGTTAAATCTCACAAAAGTGATAATCATGAATTTTCCTTATTAAGTTTCAGTCTTTGTATGTAAATTGAAGTATTAAGACAATGAGATACAGATCAAAGTTTTAATTTTCGTCCCTAGCCTCAGATTTAATTTAAAAGTCTTAAATTATGCAGAGAATTGCATCTCTTTATTCTTACAGCTGCTTAAAACAGATTTAATTATCTTCCTTAATATGCAGATACTACTTCTGCCTACCAGTTCTCTCAAACGAATGCCTCCCAAATCAGTTTTGTTGAGTTCTTCAGACTGATTGGGGCCTTTGCCATTTATCCTGTGCCTTCAGGTTCTTGCATTGGATTTCTCTGGGAAGCTGAGTTATTGTGTTGAAAGTCTATAGGCTCATTAGGTTCTCATTAGTGGTCCAGAGGACATCCATCTTGAGTGAGTCTCCAAGCACAGAGATGCCACCTCTCACTGCATGCTTGGGTCTCAGTGCAAAACACCTTCAATCAGCTTTCTAAAAGTCAGGCATGGTTTGAAAATGTCCGGCATCTTAGACTCAACTTTATGGACTTCTCTACTCCTCTTCCAGTTGGTTCTTGGATTAATTGTTCTTTATTTTTAAGGCCATAATGATGCATAAATGCATTGTGTGTGCTTGTGTGCGCGTGCATGTGTGTTCTTCTTGCATCTGCCACAGTGAGTCTGGGATGGAAGTACGACTGCTCCTTTGCCTTCTGCTGCTAATGAAGGTTCTGTCATGAGAGTACACTTGGAGAGAACCCTAAAAGCAGCAGGAAATGAGGCAGGTGGTATTGATGACATTGGAATTTTTCATCAACCTCAGAATAGCTATGTGGCTCTCTGAGTAACATATCAGGTGAGCTAAGTTGTGGGATTTTGGAGGAATTGTGTTATGGAGGTATTTCTGTCATCTAGGTTTTGAGGGTGACCCCATATGCTATTTGCAGGAAAGAATCCCATTTCTTGCACATATTAAATCTGTAATTTTCTGGCTTGAGTACATACTACTGTATGTAAAATTGCAAACTAGTATCAGTGTACCTAGCCTTTTATTATTTTCTGTCAATAAGAAGTGCTCCTCTTTGCTACGGTTTTAGCCATGTTTTCATTGATATTCTTATGCTAGAATTAGGACATGCATTCTAATGCATGTCTAGGAAAGGATTAAGGAAGAGATTTAGATTTCAGATGAAGACTTTACCATGTTTTGACTGTTTTTCAAATGTTAAGAGTCTTTTAAGTTTCAGTTTTATCTCTATGCTTCTTGGGGAAGGCTATCCAAATCCACATACATTTATTGAGTTTCTATCAATATGTTAGGCACATTGTACAGAGATGTGGGAACTGCAATCAGGAGTGACATGATTCTTACCTTAAAGATATGTATAGTTTACTGGCGGATGCCAAAAATATTATTACAAAATAATGCAATAAATTATTGCATTATAATTTATTATATTTAGATAATTTATTATTAATCTTTTTTATTTCCAATGGATATAAGGTGTTAGGCACTTTCTACTTCATGTCATTAGATTTTTACTTAAAACTCAATATAACAGAGGTCCTAGTCAAACCAAAACATATATTCCCACAAACTAAAGTAAGTCCATTAATGAATGAAAAGTACATGATATAAAATTGGCTCTTGGTAAAATATTTGTCAAAGAACAAATAAATAAATACAAACATCTAACTATTTGCTGAGACAGTTGATTCCTCAGGTCTCTAATGGTTTAGATGAAATGCAGAGGAGATGGAAATTACATGGAGAGGTTTGTATGCAAGTAACTGGGACAAAGAAAAGAGGCTTAGATCAGTCCGTAAGCCAACCTAGCTCCATCGAAGGAAGACAAGACTGTAGGAGAAAGTTGAACCATGAGTTAACATGGATAGAGGCACAAGCTCTGGTACTCACATGAAAAAAATATTGTTAACAACTTGGGGAGGTGAATCTTTTGCCCTCTCTGCATTAATCACACTGTGATGTCATATAAGAACCTAGCAGGGACCTCTAGGTTTCTTTGGTACCTAGAGGACTTGCTCTTTACAGGCATCAGAAGCATGATCTTTTGACATCAGAAGATCCCTGTTTTTATAAAGAATTGATATCAGAAATGGGGCAAGACTCAGGCACTATTTTCAAAGTAAATTCAGAAGGATCAAATTCAAATAAGAAATGCACTCATATGGATTTTGAGGAGAATAAAGACACCATGTATTGCTAGTAGGGGCACATGCCAGGGATTTTTTGTCTTTGTTTTGGATTTAATTAAAAAATATTATGGCTTAATTTATACCCAAGCCTCTGAAGAAATACACGTATTCTAAATTCCTTGGGTGCTGCATTCATATCCTATGTTTTTGCAATATTCTTTAGAATAGATAAACAGTGTCAGGCACACTAGGCATTCAACAAAGGCATCATTTTCCAAAGAGGGGGAACCCAGAGAGGATTTCGCATCTCTCTTTGCTGAAATGTTTTTCCACAAATGGATCCCAAGCCATTAGTATTCTCAGAGAAGCCAGGAGGAAAATTTTGGTAGATTTATTGATTAGTGTCTAAGAATATAAGAGCCACAGGCCAAACTGGCTTTGGTCATTGATGATTTGGCCTTTTCTTTCTACTCCTTGATCTTTGTGACTACTTATAATCCCAGCCGTGGGTTTCTACAGAGGCTTAGGAGCTACATGAAGTTCTTCTTAGAAAATGGTTCCTTCACCATAGAGAGAAGCAACAGAAAGACAAGATACCATAGATCCTGGATTAGACCCTAGGCTCTAATAGTTAGCATTTGTGTGATCTCAGGTAAGTTACTTGCCTTTCTGTGCCTCATATAAAATGACAACAAAATGACAATAACACCTATTTGCATAGAGTTGCTGTAAGATCTACGTGAGATAATTCATGAAAAGCACTCACAAACTGGAACAGTGGTGCTCAATAAATGTTGGATAATCACATTATTATCATTGTGTCAAGTGTCAATTCTCCTCAGCTTTTCAGAGACACTCTGTGTCTCTTCATTCTGCATTGCCAATCACGTGCACCTCCCGTGCCTACGTATATAATCCAGAGGGTCATAGAGAAATTGAGGGTCTTTTTCTGCAAGGAGGAGTCTGAATCATTAGCACAGCATCTCACAATCACATGTGAGGTCCTCAGGGCCTCCTGATATAAAGAAGATGCTCTTGGCTTGGTGCTCTGCACCAGGAGAACAGAGTGTCAAGAAACCAGATCTGACAGCTGGAGGCAGCAGATTTCATCCCTGCTGTTGAAGCTTTGCCCACTCAAGTGGAGTGAACTGACTTGTTATCTTTTTTCCTTCTTGTGCCCAGAAGGCATGAATTCACATATCTTCGAACCAGATTCCCCAATCTGTTCCCACATCACTCAACCCAGTGTGAGATGCCTGATGATGATCTTTATTACATGGAAAGCAGAGTTGAACAGATGAGAACCAGGCCTCTGTCCCTGAAGTGTGTTCTCTATCATTTGCACAAAGGTTGGAGCTAATCAGAAGTGAAAGTTCTTGTTTCAGATCTTGCTATATTGTGTTCTTAGAAACGGAAAAACTTTCTGAACTCTGCTATAGTATAAACATCTGCTGCTTCAAAAGATGACAGTTCTCTGGGTATCAGGATCAGGTGTCTCATGTCTCTGGGAAGAGAACTTTCACATTCACCTTGCAGGTAAACACAGGGTGGAAGGTCGGCCCTAAGCATACCAGAAAGGTTTTTCTTATTTTTCCTTTTTTTGCCCAAATACCTAGATATAAAGTACTATATTTTATATGGATTTCTGAAATGATTTTTAAGTAAGCTTTTTGTTGAGTAAAATATACATTAAAAATGTACAAATCACTAAATATACAACTTGATTTTTACAAAGTGAATGCATCCATTAGCTGCTGCCCAGATGAACCAACTGAAAACTGCCAGTACACTCAAAGTTCTCCAATCACTCCGCCTCCAAAGTTAACAATAATTTTTCCCTTCTATTACCATGAATAATAATAATAATTATTATTATTATTGAGACGGAGTCTAGCTCTTGTCACCCAGGCTGGGGTGCAGTAGTGTGATCTCAGCTCACTGCAACCTCCGCCTCCCAGGTTCAAGCAATTCTCCTGCCTCAACCTCCCAAGTAGCTGGGATTACAGGTGCCCACCACCACGCCCAGCTAATTTCTGTATTTTTAGTAGAGACGGGGTTTCACTGTGATGGCTAGGCTGGTCTCAAACTCCTGACCTTGTGTTCTGCCCGCCTTGGCCTCCCAAAGTGCCAGGATTACAAGTGTGAGCCACCACACCCGGCCACCATGAATTATTAACAGCTTTGACTATTTTTGCATTTTAATTAAATGGAATAATGCAACATATATTCTTTTTAGTCTGACTTCTTTAGCTCAATAATGGATATGACATTTATCCAAGTTTTTTGCATATAGCTTTAGTTTGCTCTTTTTCATTGCTGTATGACATTCCATTCTGTAAATATACTGTAGTTTATGTATTCTACTATTCATGAATGTTTAGATTGTTTCCAGTGAGGGCTCTTACGAATACTTTTGCAATGCATATTATCTTACATACATTCTGGTGCATATGTGTATGCATTTCTGATGAGTATATACTTAAAAGTGGAAACGCTGGGACATAGGTGGTATACATGTTCAGCTAGAGCAGTTAATGTCAAACAAGTCCCAAATGGCAGTATGTATCTACACTCCAAATAGCATTATATGAATGACCAGATGCTCCACATACTCAATAACACCTGATATTATTAGCATTTTTTTTTTTTTGAGAGGGTGTCTTATTATTTTTTTTTTTTTTTTGAGAGGGAGTCTCACTTTGTCAACCAGGCTGGAGTGTAGTAGTGCAATCTCAGCTCACTGCAACCTTCACCTCCTAGGTTCAGGCGATTCTCCTGCCTCAGCTTCCCAAGTAGCTGGGACTACGGGCACGTGCCACCATGCCCAGCTCATTTTGTTTGTAGCTGTTTTTTGTTTGTTTGTATTTTTAGTAGAGATGGGGTTTCGCCATGTTGGCCAGGCTGGTCTTGAACTCCTGACTTCAAGTGATCTGCCCACCTTGGCCTCCCAAAGTGCTGGGATTACAGGTGTAAGCCACTGCACCCAGCCTATTATTAGTCTTTTAAAATGTAAACCTTCTGATGGTGCACAGTGATATATTATTATAAATTAAGTTGCATTACATAGGGATGTTCCGAATTTTTTCATATGCTTATTGGCTATTTGGTTATTCTGAGTCATTTGTGCATTTTCTGTTGAGTTACCAGTGTTTCCCTTATTAGTTTGTAGAATTTATTTATACTCTTCTAATTATGATTCCCTCATTAAAATTATGTTTATTTTGCATAATAAAAATAATAAAAAACATAACAAAATAATTTTATTATTTTATTACTGTAATAATACCTTTTCAATAAGGTATTATTACAAATACTTTTTTCCCTCTAGGGCTTAATTTAATAATAATAGCTTATTGAAAACGTATTATTATAGATACCTTTCTCCCCTCTAGGACTTAATTTTTTATTTTTGAAATAATGCCTTAAATAACAGAAATTCTTAATTTTAATGTAGTCCTATTTAAAATTAGTATAATTAGGCTGGGCGTGGTAGCTCACGCTTGTAAATCCCAGCACTTTGAGAGGCTTAGGTGGGCAGATCACTTGAGGTCACGAGTTCAAGACCAGCCTGACCAACATGGTGAAACCTTGTCTCTACTAAAAATACAAAAATTAGCTGGGTGTGGTAGCTGGCACCTGTAATCCCAGCTACTCAGGAGGGTGAGGCAGGAGAATCGCTTAAACCTGGGAGGCGGCCAAGATCATGCCACTTGCACTTCAGTCTGGGTGACAAAGGTAGACTCCATCTCAAAAAAATAAAAATAAAAATAAAATTAGTATAATTATAAAGAGATTTGTTGGTATAATTCCTTTATACTAAATGGGTTTTCTTTGCTGTTTTAAAAAAGTCTTTGCATAACACAAGGTCATGAAGATACTCTTCTGTGCTTTCTTTTAGAAATGTTAGTATTGTTGGGCACGGTGGCTCACGCTTGTTATCCCAGCACTTTGGGAGGCCAAGGTGGGAGGATCACTTGAGTTTAGGAGTTCGAGACGAGCCTGACCAACATGGTGAGACCCCGTCTCTACTAAAAATACAAAAATTAGCTGGGTGTGGTGGCATGCCCCTGTAGTTCCAGCTACTCGGGAGACTGAGGCAGGAGAATCGCTTGACCCCAGGAGGCAGAGGTTGCGGTTGAGCTGAGATCTTGCCACTGCACTCCAGCCTGGGCGACAGAGTGAGACTCAAAAAAAATAAATAAATACATAAATGTTAGTATTAGCTTTCAAATTTTGATTGACAATCCAGTTATAATTATGTTTGTATATTATGTGAGATAAAGATTCATGTATTCCCATATGGATATTCAAAATTGTAGCACCCATGTATTGAAAAGATTATAATTTCTCCACTGTACTGCAGTGTCTCATTTGTCATAAAGTGGGTGGGTGTGTGTCTATATATATATAATATATGCATGTATATATGTTTCTTGACTCTCCTTGTTCAGCTTGTTTATGATATACATACATATATATGTATATATATGTGTGTTTGTATGTGTATATATATATATATATATATATATATATATATATGGTAATGTCAGTCATCCAAATTTGTGAGTCACCTTCAAAAGTATCTTTGCTATTCTTCAGGTCTTGAAATTTTGTGTAAATTTTGTGATCTTGTCAATTTTAATACACAAAACATGCTGGAGATTTTTATTCAGATTGCTTTTAATTCAAGTCAATATGAAGAAAATTGATGTCTTTTTATAATACTGAGTCTTCCAATCCATGATCAGGATGCATCCCTCCATTCATTCAGGTATTTTTCAAAATTTATTTCCAAATTTGTGTTGTTTTCTGGGTAGTGCTATTGAAAATAAGTTTTTAGATTTGAGTATAAATGTTTGTTGTATTTTGATGCTATTATAAATTTTACACACACACACACACACACACACACAATTTTCTACTTGTGTAGAGGATTTATATGTCCAGGTATCAAGACTCACCCTAACTCTAGTGAAAATATCATGTGTTTGAAATTAGTAATTAAGATAGGTTTTAAATTCACAAGGGAACAGAATAGAGTGCCTAGAAATGGAACCACAAATAGTCAATTGATTTATGACAAAGGCTCATAGCAATTCAGCGTGAAATGAACAGTTTTTCAATGGTATTGGGACAATTGGATATGCATGTGGATGAAATATAGAAACCTGAAAGAGCTTTATTCAAGATAAATCATACACATTAATGTGAAACCTAAAGAGAAATCTTGTGGTATGACTTTTTTCACAATGTTGGTTTAGATAAAGACTTCTTAAGCCTGACAAAAAGCACTGAAGTGACAAAAATCACTAATTTTCAAAATATAATTACTGATATTTGAGTATATATCTACCGTTTTTTAATTTTAATTTTAATGTGTTTGAGACAGGGTCTCGCTCTGTCAGCCAGGCTGGAGTGCTGTGGCGCAATTATGGTTGACTGTAGCTTTGAACTCCTGTGCTCAAGTGATTCTCTCACCTTAGCCTCCCAAGTAGCTGGGACCACAGACACACGACACCACGCCTGGCTATTTTTTTTAATTATTTTTATTTTTTTGGTAGTTGTCCAAGCTGGTCTCAAACTCCTGGACTCAAATGATCCTCCCACCTTGGCCTCCCAAAATGTTGGGATCCACCGCACCATTCCTATATCTACCATTTTAGTATTTGTTTTCTATTTGTCTCAACTGTATTATATTCTTTTTTTTCTCTTTTACTTGTCTTACTTTGGATTAATGAAACCCTTTTAAAGTTACTGTAATTCCCCTGTCAGTAGCTTGATGATAAGATTCTCTTACTACTTCTTCAGTTGTTACTCTAGATATTGAAGCACACATTTTGGATACGTTGGAGTCTAATATATATTAGTATTTTTATCTCTTTATAGATATATCATGAACCTTAAACTACTTTAACTCCACTTAATTCGCTCCACATACTGTGCTATTATTCTGATGTATTTTAATGCTACATATATTTTAAATCCCACAGCTGATTATCATTCTTGGTCTGCACAGTTATTATTAATTTCAATTTACCCCCTTTCTTGCTCTTCATTCCTTCTATTATTTTGTGTGTGTGTCTCTGTCTGGGTCATTTTCTTTATGTGTGAAGAATTATTTTTAGCATTTCTTTTTATAGACATTGGTTTACATGACAGATATTGCTATGGAAGGAAGTGCTGGAAAGGGAAGGGAATGGTCCCTTTAAATGATACAGAAGTGGGGGAAGGGCGTTGGTCCCTGGCTAGGGCTCCACCCCTGGGCCCCTGCCCTGGGACCTAGGTGAGAACAGGCCCTCCTGCCTTTGCACCCAAATGTTGTGTTTCCCAAGACCACCCTAGCCTGCCCTGCCCCCATCCTGTGCCTATAAAAACCCCTGACACCCTAGCAAGCAGACACACAGGCAGATGGACATGGAGAGGAATGCACCGACAGGCACCAGCATGCCAGCAGGCCACCGACCAGGAGAACTATCCTATACGGAGTTTAGCTGGGGCACTGAGTGGCCGGACTCCAGTGGAAAACCTTCCCACTCCATCCCCTTCTGGCTTCCTCCATCTGCTGAGAGCTACCTCCGCTCAATAAAACCTTGCACTCACTCTCCAAGCCCAGGTGTGATCCGATTCTTCCAGTGCACCAAGGTAAGAACCCGGGATACAGAAAGCCGTCTGTCCTTGCGACAAGGTAGAAGGTCTAATTGAGCTGGTTAAGACAAGCTGTCTACAGACCGCAAAACAGAAAGAGCACATGGTAGCAAACGCCTACTGGGGCTTCAGGAGCTGTAAACATTCACCCCTAGACACTGCTGTGGGGTCAGAGCCCTGCAGCCTGCCCCTGTATGCTCCCCTAGAGGTTTGAGCAGTGGGACACTGAAGAAGCGAGCAACACCCCCATCACACGCCTGTTAGGGGGACAAGGGAACATTTCTTGTTTCAATATCTCTATTATTGTTTATCTAAAAAACTATTTGTGTTTTCTGCAGCTCTTCAAAGGTGTCATTCCATTTTCTTCTGGACTTTTTAAACACCTCTGTTTGATTTTAGATTTCAGCAGTTTGAATGTAATAGCTCAGTGATTTTTCTTTGCACATATTCTTCTTGAGTTTGCTGATTCTGTTAAATCTATAGGTTAATATGTTGATATCTTTCATCAGGCTTGGAAAATTCTCAGCCCTGATCTTTTCAAAAATGATTCAGGTTCCTTATCTCTCTCCTCTCCTTCTGAGGCTACAATTGCATCTGTGTTAGACCTTTTTATCATTTTCCATTTGTCTCTTACTGTTTTTTCTCTATATTCTATTTCTTTCTTTTATGCTCTAGATGGCGTATTTCCTGCTGTCCTTTCTTCCATTTAACTTCTATTCATATGGGTTCAATTTCCTGTAAACCTAAGTTCTTAATATCAGTTATTATATCTTTATTTTTACAATTTCTATTTGGTATTTCTTATTGATTACCACTCTGGGGTTCAATTTTCCACCTTTTCTCACATTCATGAACATAATAATCATTGTTGTTTTACAGGATATCTTAAATAAACACTATATATCATCCAACTGTTGTTCTTTTCTGTTTTTCCCCCCTCTTGGTCCTATATCTTGATATACTTGGATATTTCTAAATGCCCAACATTTTATATGAAAAATATTAGGTAAAGCTCTGGTTTATGTTATTTTCCACTAAAGAAGGTTTACTTTGGTTTCTAACAATCATTTTAGAGTTGAAGAGAGTCACTCTAATCGATTCAGAGACTGAAGTGATTTCAGATTGGATTTCTGGGTACAGAGGGCTTGTTCTAATTTGGGTTTGCCTTCACTCCTAGGATAGAGATTTCCAGAAGTTCCAAGAACCAAGTCTCAGATAGTTCACCAGGGCCCTCCTCCTTGATAGGTCTTGAATTCAAATCTTTATCTCCCCGAAGGGTGATACTTCTAAAACCTTTAACTTCTCAGCCTCTTATTGAGTGCTTTCTATGTTTCCTGTGTTACTTGGGTATTATGAAATACCTCAGGGAGGAAAAAGGCCCTGTATGTGTGCTGCTTCCCTGTGCTTTCCTTCTCCCTGGGACATGACCTCATCAGTCCTAGCTTTGGAATATCCTCAAAGTCCAATTTTTATCTCCCAAGCCTTGTGAGTTTATTAACACCTGTTTAGCCAACACTTTCTACTCGGCCTTTTACTGGAAATCTGAAATCTGAACCTCCTCTATAGTGTGGCATATAAATTGCTAAAGTTCTCGAAAGGAAAATATAGCATAAAATGTTGGACTCACTGCAGTCAATTTCCCATCTCTTAAGAAAGGAATTTTAGCTTCTCAATCCTCCTGATAGTTCTCTTAACTCCTAGTCCTCCTTTTCCTCCTCTTCATTTTTCTTCTTCTTCTCTCTCTCTCTGTCCCTCTTGCTCTAAATATATACGCATATATTTGGTTTACTGCAGGCTAATCTGTCATAGTCTCAAGCAGAAACCTCCAGAGTTTATTTATGTGAAATATGAGCAACTCCAATTTGCCTAAATTGGCCTGTGTTTTTCTAGTTCCAACTGAAGAATTTTTGGGCATCTTAGTATTTAGAAGATTGGATATAATTGAGAGGCACACATCAAGGAGATAATCAGGAAAGGAGTATGGGGTTACACAGTCTGTAAATGGCCCTTGGACCAGAGATATGCACATCGTTTGAGCTAGATTTCAAACTCGTTATTTCACAGTTATTTTTCCTATGAGAATCAAAATACTAAAAATTTTCATCAAACCTGACAAAGCAATCATAATTGCTTCATCTTTCCACCTTCTTGTCACACTCCAGAGCCTCCGACTTCTCTATACCCCAGCCTTGCCACTGTTTTGTTTTTCTTGAAGCACAATGCACAATGCACAACCTGTGAACTTGTTAGAAATGTATATTCTTGGGCCCTACTCCAACCTACTGAATCAGAATCTTTAAGGATGTGGCCAAGAAAACTGTGTTTCCAAATGCTCTCCAGGTGATTTTCTTATACATGGTAAAAACTGAGGGTCCCTGGACTATCAGCAGAGGAAGTTGGAAGTCAATGTTATGTATTTTAATCCTGGGTGTCATTGTTAGCCTTTAAAATTCCTTCATATTTACAGAGCTTTACACAATGATAACCATAATTAGGTACCCAGAAAACGTGACTGAGGACAGGACTGTTTGGTTTAATAATCGAGATGATTTAATGTAAGTACTTATCCTTTGGAGACCATCTTCCCCATTTACAAGATGACAGAATTCCTGTGTATGTTCTAAAATATATAAGATAAATTTCATCTTATCCACCATATAAATTTCAGACATTTCAGACAACCATAATCTGGCAAATAATAATGTATGCTTTTAATGATATCCCTGAGGTGCTACACAATACAAACTCTTAACTGCCAAAGAAATTACACTCAATTATGTTTACATTGGCCTCAGTGCTATATGCATGACCATCGTGTTGCCCTTGGAAAAGAAAACCCTGCAGGCTGAGAGGGGATGAAAGTATTAGCATCTCTTAGGTTAGTTTAGTATATGTACGTATTAAATTATTTCAGGAATGTTATTTATGTATTCTGAGAAAATGGATTTTGCTAAAAGTGCCAATAAGGCAAGATTAAATCCAACAGATCCTCCAAGAGTAAGAGATTAAGTATGAGTGAAGAATAACTTGCAGTGAAATGTAAGTAATTAAAGAAATAGATCAGGGAAGGTGAAGTGATAATAAAAGAAAAACAAGGAACTAAAAGTAAAATAAAAATTTTTAAATAGCATCTAAAATGGAGAAAGTTGAAAAAGATATGGAAACAAAACCATGGTTTATTAAGAAAAATCACTGGCCCTAGAAAGTAGGGGGGAGATAGGAATCAGTCCTACCTCTTCTAATTGCACCATGAGAGTGACGTTGTGTCCTTGTTCCGCTGTCAGCTTTCCATCAGCCGTGACTATCCGCAGCCCCCGCGGGGCTTTCCCTGGGCACTTCTGCGGTTTGGCAGTGTACTGTTCCCTTACGCCATCAGTGCAATTATTGGAAACCACCTTCCTGTACCTAAATGGAAAAAAGCTCAAGTCGTAAACCAGCTCATTATAATGTGAATCATTCCCACTTTTTAAAATTAGACATAGTGCCTAGCCCTGAGGACCATCAGTAAGCACCTAACCATCTTTCATGCTACTATGAGGAGTAGGGTTAATTCATATAAAGCACCCAACAGAGAGATAATCATGGTCACACATTGTATCTATTACTAGCATTGTAACTGAGTTTTATTCATCTATTAAATTAATGAATCACTTCATTTTGAAGTTGTGGGAAATGCACAGAAATAGAAGATATAGCCCCTACTCTCACTAAGTTTATAAGCTAGTTGGAGAGACATAGATGGCTAATCTAGGAGATAATTCAAAGGCTATATAATTAAGGACTAGAATGAGTAATAAATATCGCAAAGGAATTTACAATTCAGAGAAAAAATAGATTATGATAGATATATGACTCAACATTCACAGATCTCATAGAGACTGCTACAGTAATGGTGTAGCACAGAAAACACTGGCTAAACTGGATATTTCTACTCAGTCTTTCATGAGAGGTTATACTGGCTAAATGATCAAACCTCACATTAAAGAGACTTCAGTTTTTGCAGATTGATGCTCTTTTGCTTATTTCTTGTTTTAGCTTTAACAGGGAAAATTATTCTACAGAATTAACCTATATAATTTATCAGATTCATAGAAAATTAAAATGTACAATTTTAGGATGACAAACCTTTAAGATTTTTGAGGTTCAGCGTTATCTAGCCATTATCGTTTTATACTGTTGGGTCTGCAGCAACCACTTTATGTATGTATATATTTGATTTCCCAAGTTTATTTGCCTAGAGTTAGTGGTAGAGCCCAAATAAGATGCAATCAAAGCTTACTTTCCACTCTTCTAGACCAGAGGTCAGCAAACTTTTTATATAAACAGCCAGATAGTGAATGTTTCAGTTTTGCAGGTTATGTAGACTTTGTCACAACTACTTATCTCTGCACTTACTGTATGAAGGTGAACACAGACAACACATAAAAGAATGTATGCAGCTGGATTCCAGAAAACCTTTATTTACAAAACTGGCATAGTTTTCCAATGCGTTTAAGTCTAGTGAATGTCCTTTCCTCTGTGAGAAAGTCAAAGGAGATACTGTCTGGAAAAGTACTTTGAACACTATAGATCACTACAATGTCAATTATTAATGCTTATCTCATATGTTAAATGTAAGAATTAAATGGGTTAATGTACACAGAGTACTTAAAAGTATCCTAATACTCTGCAAGTGCTCATAAAATATTACCAATTATTTCTATTTAATATTATTACTATTTTTCTTCTCTGTTCAAAACCTTCATGGACTTCATATGACCTTAGGATAGCTGTAAATTCTGTAGGCCTGGGCATGAAGCCCTGCACTAGCTAATTTTATTCTGCTTTCCTGGACTCTTTCTCCCTCATAAGCCCATGTCCATTCTCTTTTTAATCTTCTTGAGAGTACTTCTGTTTTCCTCTCTCTCTTTCTGCTTCAGTGTCCTCCTGCATGCCCTAGCAGCTGCCTAAAATTTGCCCACCCTTTAAGGTACAGCTTACTTCTTGTCTTCTCTAAGACAATTTCCCTGAATATAAGAGTAAAATGGCAGGAATTTCATATTTAGAGAGTGCTTACTATGTCCTAGTTATTGTGCTAAGTTCTTTACATAAATTAACTCATTTATCTTCAGAAGTATCCATAATAAGGAAGATGTAATTATTCCCAATAAACAGATGGAAGAATTGAGATTCATAGGTGTCAACTAGTTTTCTCAAGATCAAATAGCCAGGACCTAGACAATTTGTCTCTAGCACACATCCCCTCTTTACTACTGCACTGCTACTTTAAATGGAGTAAGATTATCCCTCCTCTAAACCCTTAAAAGAATCCTTACGATTTACTTGATAGGAATTCTTTATACCTTGTATGATTTTCTTCCTGGTGTGACTGTGTGAAATTCAAGCTCCTTGAGGGCCTCCTTGTGTTCCAGATATTCAAAGCTGGTAATCAGGAGGTCCATACCAGTAACTGTACCAGTTTAAATGTGGAAATATCTGCATAATAATTGGTTATTACCACATCCCCAAACCCTCCAAGCATCTCACTTACCAACCCAGCTATGCTGATCCCTGTCCTTAGAGTCCTTGCTTCTCACAATTAGGAAACTTATGGGTTAACACCTAGCCTATGAGGGGGTCACCAAAACTCCGCTCCAGACATAAGATAACTGCCCATGCTGGTTGGTCATTGTTATGCCTAAGCAATTTGAACATCATTCCATCTGATTTTTTTTTTTTGTTTGAGACAGTCTCGCTCTGTTGCCCAGGCTTTACTTGGCTCACTGCGGCTTTATTATGGCTCACTGCAGCTTCCACCTCCTGGGTTCAAGCGATTCTCTCGCCTCAGCCATCCAAGTAGCTGGGATTACAGGCATGTGCCACCACGAATGGCTAATTTTTGTATTTTTAGTAGAGATGGCATTTCACCATATTGGCCAGGCTGGTCTCAAACTCCTGGCTTCCAGGGATCTGCCCACCTCAGCCTCCCAAAGTGCTGACTAAAGACATGAGCCACCACGCCTGGCCTCATCTGATATTTATTTTTTTAAAAATCCTTTGTAGTTGCTTTTAAGTATATGTAAAAGAGAAAATAAGGGCAGGTGAGAGAGAGAAGGAAATAAAACACAAAATGCAGACACTGGTGTATGATAGCATCCTGGTACCAGCAATAGTAGCAAAAAAATGACCAGTGATGTCACCCAGGTTAATTGTGGCATCTCAGTGAGTTTCACCATGCATCAGAGACTGTCTACAGGTTTCAGAGGCAAGGCACTGTGCAAACTGAAGTCAGGTTATGATTTTTAATCACTCAACATCCAAGCACACCTGTGATTCTCTCTTGGTGGGCAGCTATAGAAACACTGGTTCACCATCACCACTAGCATCATCAGCTAGAGAATATTCTTTTGTTTGTCACTGTTCTGATCAATCATTACCTTAGGCTTTCCTGAATCCTGCAATAACAGGAGTTCTGCTTAAATCCAAAGCACGAATCCATCCCCCCGGGACTATGCCACAGAAAAGGCTGTTGGTAATTTTTTTAAATGCTCATTAAAAACCATTCTGAAACCATTTTATTTCCTGTATGAAAATGGCATCACATTAGCCCTACCAGACCTGTCCCTGAAATTTAGAAGAAAATTGTGCCGTAATACAGAGTTCATTTACTCAAGTAAGCACACACCTGCTTTTTGCATTACAGAATGGTTCTATTTTCATCCCAGCAGCTGTCCCTGGGTCTGAGTTACATAAATGAATAATGCATTTAATATGTTATTAAATGGGGCTGCTACCTCCGTAATAACAAGGCAACTTATGATTATGTTGGACCTGCGCTCTGAATATTACTGGGATGCATTTAGTTGGTAAAGCATTCTTCAATCTGCCAAGAAGAAAAGTGCTTTGTAATGGCAAGGGAGTCTTTGTACAATTACTGAAAAGGAAACATTCTGCAAATGTGCCTTTGATATTACCGATGGCTCACCAGTAGATAGGATCTTACTACTCCAACAACCCCAATTTTTAGCTATTCTCTTCCTCCCTATTTTGATATGCTTCTGTCACATTTTCCTTTTTGCCCCTACCCTCTTTGACTTTGCTTCTTTGCTACCTGGAAGTCTTAAAAAAGATGAAGGCAATAGGCTGGGCATGATGGCTCATGCCTGCAATCCCAGGACTTTGGGAGGCCGAGGTGAGCAGATCATGAGGTCAGGAGATCGAGACCATCCTGGCTAACACAGTGAAACCTTGTCTCTACTAAAAATACAAAAAAATTAGCCGGGCTTGCTGGCGGGCGCCTGTAGTCCCAGCTACTCTACTCGGGAGGCTGAGGCAGGAGAATGGTGTGAACCTGGGAGGCGGAGCTTGCAGTGAGCTGAGATTGCACCACTGCACTCCCGAGCGAGATTCTTTCTCAAAAAAAGAAAAAAGAAAAGAAAAAAGATGAAGGCAATATTTTTCTTTGTGAAAGTAAAACTGGAAGGAAGCATTAAAAGTCTTTGTAATCTGTGACTTTTCTATTTAGTAGGTTTTTTTTTTTTGACATTTTGAGGTGGTGATGGCAAGATACAGATGTTTTTGAGTATTCAGTGTATACTAAGGTGACAGTAGCTTAGTAGCTTAGTAGATCTCAACCCCGTCTACCCTTTGGAATTAGCTGGGGGTACTTTTAAAATAGATGGATACCCAGGCTCTGCAAACAGAAATGCTGATTTAATTGAGAATTATGGGGATCAGTTTGTTTTTGTTTTTAGGTTCCCCTGGTGATGCTAGTTTGCAGCCAAGGTTAAAGACTACAAATTTAAGAAGTCAAAAACAATAGATGTTGGTGTGGATGTGCTGAAAAGAGAACGCTTATATATGGGGTAGGAATGTAGATTAGTACAAATTAGTACCACGTCTATGGAAAGCAGAATGGAGATTTCTTAAATAACTAAAATTAGATCTACCATTCAATCCCGCAATCCCACTACTGGGCATCTACCAAAAGGAAAAGAAGTCATTATAGCAAAAAGACACCTGTACATGTATGCTTATCACAGCACAATTCACAATTGCAAAGATATGGAACCAACTTAAGTGCCTATCAGCTGATGAGTGGATAAAGGAAATGTGGTGTACATACACCATGGAATACTACTCAGTCATAAAAAAAGAATGAAATAATGTCTTTTGCAGCAACTTGGATGGAGCTGGAGGCCATTATTCTATATGAAGTAACTCAGGAATGGAAAATCAAATACCACATGTTGTTACCTATAAGTGGGAGCTAAGCTATGGGTACACAAAGGCATAGAGAGTGGTATAATGAACTTTGGAGAGTCAGAAAGGGTGAGGGAGGAAGGAGGGTGACAGAGAAAAAACTACATATTGGATACAATGTATGCTACTCAGATGACGGATGCACTAAAATCTCAGGCTTCATCACTACACAATCCATCCATGTAACCGAAGACCACTTGTACTCCAAAAGGTATTGAAATAATATATATAATAAATATATATTATATATCTCAAAAATATATAACACTATATGTGTGTGTGTGTGTGTGTGTGTGTGTGTATTTTTTTCAAGAAAATAAATAAACACTACTGACCTGAAGGTTAAAACTAGTGTTGTAGAACCAAATTGTCGGAGTTTAAATTCATTCTCTTACTCTATGAATTTGGGCAATTTACCCATCCTCTCTCAAATCTTTGATTCTTTGCCTACAAATTAGGGATAATTATGGAATCTTTTCCTAAAGTTCTTGGGAAGATTAAATGAGACAATGCATTGAAAAGGGCTTAGCATAGATTTCAGCACATTTAGAACGTTAATAAATATTAAAATATAAAAAGTTAGAAAAAAGTATTTAAGTATCAAATATTAACTTGCTATGATATTTCAAGTTCCCCCAAAATAAAAGTGACGTTCTTATTGCCAAGGTCGTCTTAAGATGAAATCCAATTATGTCAATTCCTTTCTTAAAATCATTCAAAATTTCCCATGGGCTTATTCTAAAGAGTAAAGTTCAGGTTTAAAGTAAAGATCCACGACCTGACCTCAATGCATTTTTCTAGCATCATCCATGGCCTGACATGCGCCCTGAACCAAGCCATTCTGTATACTAAATGCC